>NC_000016.10:63350378-63653409 GCF_000001405.40 Homo sapiens | reverse complement strand
GCTCATATATGTTTTGTCACAGCTGTGTGTGAAATATTATGTAATTAAATTTTACATTACATCAGTCCCAATACATAATAAAGTGTCATCTGGTTAATTCTGGTTTCCAAATGCGCTTTAAAACCAACTCAGAGTAAATATTACATGTGATTCATGCCACAAATTGTTACGTAGGCACGTACTAGCATATTTATGGTCTTATACTGCATGCCAAATTATGCACTAAATTCAAATATGGACATGCTAATTTCCCTTGTGTTGACAATATGAAATTCTAAGCATTATTCTTTAATCAGAACACAACCAGTTCACTGAAGTCGTAAAGTGGACTTCTCCCACATCTGCTTGCTTTATTCCTTTTTCACAAAGAACTAAGTTCATTAATTCTTCAACATATAAGTAGACAAAGGGAAACTTTTAAAGGTTATATATATGTAACTATATAAACAGATCACAAATATTCACAGTTCCATTAAAGAAAGGGGGTAAAGGAATAATCTGGAACAAATATTACTCATCTAATTATAAATGTCTTTGATAGTGTTCCATGCCAAAATTACTAGAAAACTGATGCAGGTAAACAAATGACTTGGGTAAGAAAAAGTACTGGGATATAGCATGGTATCTTAGAGGTAGTCTCAAACCAGAAGAAATGGGGGTATGAAATTAAAGATATACTTCACAGAAAAATAAAGATGTGCCTTTAATTTTATTCTTTTTACAAAATTTAGAAATGACCTGGAAGAGAAAATGGTTTTATTGTAGTTACATTAAGTTTTAGACATTGGGCTATTTGCTTTATACATTTAAACAAAATTTTATTGTCACTAAACCCACCCTAGTTGGCTTTATTTAAAAATTTTTCTCTTTTTGACACGAGAAAACTGGGATCAAGCCCAATCATTGGTATTA
Organism: Homo sapiens; assembly: GCF_000001405.40. Taxonomy (NCBI): domain Eukaryota; kingdom Metazoa; phylum Chordata; class Mammalia; order Primates; family Hominidae; genus Homo; species Homo sapiens. The sequence continues at coordinate 63,652,497 of NC_000016.10, read as the reverse complement.
TAATATTGGTGTAACTACTGAGTGGATTTCAAGATGGAATACAAGTAACAAGGTCAGTGGGCTGTGTATCAAGTTCTCTAAATTCAGTGTATTTGTTAATCAGCACCAAACTATGAGCTCATTTATGTGTTTAACAAACAAAGAGAATCATTGTCAGCAGTTCCTTTGAACATGATGAACACAATGGTGCTAGGGATAGCGGCCAAAGAGTGGTTTGGGAGAGCTTTAGCTCATCACTGCAATCCCAGCATACTATCAACAGGGTACCACTAGGGTAAATTACAATATGAATGGTCCCTCCCAGATTCACACAATGTATTTTAGTGCCTCTGCCTTTAATTTCATAGGTACTGATCCCCAAATCACCCAAGATAAATAAACAATACAAGTGAAAACAGAAAGCTTGCTATGCAAAATGGAGCCTGCAGGAAAGATCTCGAGAACACATATTGGCAACTCTAAGGTCCCCCCATATAGAAATCTTGGATTTTTCAATTTAATGAGCTACTAATACTGATCGGGACAAAACTTTTTGCCTAGATTTTGAGTAGTATCCCTGGAAATCAATCCATTTATTAAACATGTGAGTGTATTCACATGTAAATGTTAGAAAAGCTGTATGCTTAACATTTGTGCCTCTTGCTACATGTAAGCTGTACACCTACACAGACACCACACATGCACACAAACACACAAACAAATACAACCACAACAGTAGCAATAACAAATTTTTGCCATAAAGGAATAAATAATTTGGTTCACTTATATAAGTTTAGAAGTTTGAACATTTGGAAGTTTAAAGTGGTTCTTTGTTATTTATATTTATTCATTCTCATTTGTTCATTTAGTATACGCATTGTATAAAATGTGTTCCAGGTATTATCTTAGACATTATAAATGGAATTGTGGGGAAAAGAAGAGACACAGTCCATTTTCTTAGAGATCTTGCATACTAGGAGATAGGAGTAGATTAAGACAATTTAAAAATTAACTTTTATACAGTATGATAAAAATTTATACAAAAAACAAACAGAATGCAAAGGAAGAAACCAAGAGGGACTCCTAACACCATTGGGGTGTATCAAGAAAGTCTTTATGCTTAGTTATTTTTTATTTTCTTCTCTTCTTTATTTTCCTCCGTTTTCTGGCCTGTCTCGTTCTGTGATCTCTAAGGATGACATCTCCTTGGCTCCCATGCCTTCTAACTTTTGTCGAGTTTGTCCAGTAAGAGGCATTGAATATAATCCCAGCACTTTGGGAGGCCAAGGTGAGTGGATCACCTGAGGTCAGGAGTTCGAGACTAGCCTGGCCAACATGGTGAAACCCCATCTCTAATAAAAATACAAAAATTAGCCAGGCATGGTGGTGTGCACCTGTAATCCCAGCTACTAAGGAGGCTGAGGCAGGAGAATCACTGTAATGTGGGAGGCAGAGGTTGTGGGCTGAGATCGTGCCCACTGCACTCCAGCCTGGGCAACAGAGCAAGATTCCATCAAAAAAAAAAAAAAAAAGAGACATTGAACAATATAAAGTTTGGGATTATTTCCTGCTTTTCTGTGGCTCTGGAAATGACTTATTTTTCTGTGGATACAGTTGGGTAGCCTTTCTCCCAAGCTCTATTTCAACAGAATCTCTAGGTAAATCAGTCACGTCCCTTGTCCCGTACAATTTAGTTGTGAAAACTGCTTTTAGCTATTATTAGTCTGTGTGCAATTCATCATCTCCTTTTTTATTTTATTTTATTTTATTTTATTTTATTTTATTTTATTTTATTTTATTTTATTTTATTTTATTTTTGAGATGGTGTCTCACTCTGTCACCCAGGCTGGAGTACAGTGTTGTGATCTCGGCTCACTGAAACCTCCGCCCCCTGGGTTCAAGCAACCCTCCTGCCTTGGCCTCCCTAGTAGCTGGGATTAGAGGTGTGCCCTACCACACCAGGCTAATTTTTGTATTTTTAGTAGAGATGGGGTTCGCCATGTTGGCCAGGCTGGTCTCGAACTCCTGACCTCAAGTGTTCAGCCCACCTTGGCCTCCCAAAGTGCTGGGATTACAGCACTTTGAGAGGCTGAGATGGCTCCTTTTGATTTCCACAACTCTGCCTACAACTCTCTACATAATTTCTAATTACATTCTCTTTAGTTAAACCCTTTTTTGTTTTCCATCATTTTCTGCTATAACATAGACTGACAGACTTTCTTGATAAGATAAACCCTATATACTCTGCAGATTGTAACAATGAGGAATGTTAGCATCATAGTTAGACTCAAGTTCAGATACATGGTCACATGTTAACAGTGGTAGTTATTAAAATTAGTCTTTCTAAAGCTCAGTCTTTTCATCTATAAAACCATAAGATTTGGAAAACCATGAAAATAAGTTTATATCTTGTCCAGAAAGCAATACGAAGCTACATTTTTAAGCAAAGGGTGTATTTCCTGTTGTATGACTTCAAAAATATTATGCTTGAATTTGTCGTTGAGAGGAAATAATATATATAACCCTGAAAGCTAAAGACCAATACTTATTGTTTTTGTTCTTAAATTTTAGCCAGTGTAATTTCATAGGGGCAGTAAGAGAAGATTAATAAGTTGATGTTGCTTATACAAGGTCATGGGAATGGCTTTTGAGTTCATATATTGAAAACTTAATTACCATTTTGACAGTATGAAGATTGAAACCTTTAAGAGATGATTGAGTTAGAAAGGCTACGCCCTCATGGTGAAATTAATGCTGTTATCCTGGGAGGGGGTTATTACAAAACTGAGCTTATGATAAAAAGATAAATTTTGCCCCCGTTTTGCTCTCTGTCTTGCCATGGTTGCTCCCGCCCTTCTGCCTTTTGCCATGGGATGGCCTTCCTCAAATGCCAGCAATATGCTCTTAGACTTCTCAACTTTCACGACCATGAGTCAAATACATTTTTCTATTTATGAATTACCCAGTCTGTGTTACTCTGTTATAGCAGCAGAAAATAGACAAAGGCAGCGTTCATCTAATTTCTAACACTGTTTTTAAATTCTCTTTCACTACACTAAGTCAACCAATAGAGAAGTTGGAAACATGGTTGAAAGCAGAAATGGGCATGATATTTTTATTAACTTATGTCCTTAATTAATAAAAATATTAATTTTTTAGTGTTGAAAAGTTCTGGAAATTGTAGGTGAATCATTAACATGAGATAAAATTGTAAAAATTTGAAGGCTAGATAAAGATTACATTTCACAAACTTTTTTATGTGACAAGTTGCTACCTCCTAACTAATATTTATATATATAATTGCTTACAAAAATCAAAATGTTAATTGCATAGTTCAATTTTTGCTTGCATGTCATGCTGGACAACCAAAACAGTTAAAAATTTTAGTACAATATATTTCAGAGTTGGAAAACTCTACAAAATTAGCCTATTCTGAATCAGAATTGAATTTCCTGTTTCCTTATTCATATCATTTTAGTGGCCCATCTACCATAGAGTTTTCAACAATCTTTGGACTCAGGGTGAAAGAATAAATCTGATTTGGAAATATCTAGGAGTTTAAGTAGTAAGCATTAATTTACAACTCTATGCCTCACATTAATTTAGAGGTAATTTCAACTAGAATTCATAAAACATTCCAATAATTACATTTTCAATGTTAGTAGAGTTGGTGCCTTGGAAAATATAAATAATTTCACAACTGAAAAGATATCTTTAACTCATATGGTCCAACTAAACCAATTCAACTGGTATATGATGGCAATTTCAATTATGTCCCTGTTTCTAATAAGTCATTACCTGCTAAGCTTCACCATGCAAAATTTATGATGATCTGCAACGATTTTTTTTTCATTTTTTTATTCTAAGAGGTGTAGAGAAATCGAACAACTGTAAAAGATGATGAAAATTTGAGCCTATAACTTTCCACAGTAGATGAGATGGTACATGAAGTATCCCCTGACTATGCCCTCATTTGTGATGTTCGATGAATATGGATTAGCAATTAACCATGGCTACACTCAAAGCTAAGATAAACTATAGGAATAAATTCAAAGTGGATGATGTGGCATGTAATCTGTATTGATCAACTTACCGAAAAGGATCTCGAAACTACTTTCAAATTTAGTGGCTAAAGATATTTCTTGAACTAGTGTTTTGTTTAATTATTTAGGAGCTGTCAGACATGTTGGGAAATTGCTAAGGAAGCAATTAGTCTGGGATAGATTCCAGAAGAACTGTATTTATTTGGAAACTGAAAATAAAATCCATGTTCCAATTTTACAGGATCATAATGTTATTAATAGCTCAATCATTTATCTTTTCTCCCTAGATTTTCATTGTCATTTACTTACCAATTATTTTTTACTGGATGATATGGTTTGGCTGTGTCCCCACCAAATCTCAATTTGAATTGTATCTTCCAGAATTCTCACCCATTATGGGAGGGACCCAAGGGAAGGTAATTGAATCCTGGGGACCGGTCTTTCCTGTGCTATTCTTGTGATAGTGAATAAGTCTCACGAGATCTGATGGGTTTATCAGGCATTTCTGCTTTTGCTTCTTGCTTTTGCTTCTTGCTCATTTTCTGCTTTTACTTCTTGCTCATTTTCTCTTGCTGCCACCATGTAAGAAGTGCCACCAGTTAAACTTTTTTTGTTCCCAGTTTTGGGTATGTCTTTATTAGCAGCATGAAAATGAGCTAATACACTGGACCATGAACACCTTGAAGACAGATACTGTATTTTGAGTCCCTACATACCTCATACATGACACACAGTAGAAGGTAAAGGAACGTTTGTTAAACTGAATAAGGAATCTGGCATTCTCTAGAAGTTTGAAAAGTATAGAATATGTTCTCATCCTACCTATTGGATTTTTCTCAATGATCATATGGATCAGGAGAATCTTTCACGTAAAACTATTTCCAAGCCATAAAGCAGAGAAGAGGAACCATCCCTTTGCTGTTCTCAAATGTTTCTCATAGAAAACTAAAGCTAAATGAAAGTTTGAATATTGTCAATATCAATCTTTCTTTGGGGGGAAGAAGAAACTAAAGAAGAACCAATTTAACTTTTTTTTATTCAGGAAGGTAAAGCCAGTTAATCACACTCATATATATTATCATAATAAGCTCCAATATAGATGTTTATACTGATAACAGACAGCAGAATTTAACAAGATTGAATGTCATTCAAGTCCCAGGTTGTCCCTAAAAAAAAATGGAAGGAATGAAAGGCTACGTTCTTTTAACTAATAAATCTGCAGTTTCTAATGATTTGTATGATATTGTGGAGATGGTATGTATACAATAAGTTACTTGTATTCATCAATATAAGTAAAATAATGTATGTGGGAACATAAATGAATTATTTCCTCACATAATCATGTATTTTTAGGTTTGTTTTCTTCTATCCAGGGACGGTGCTCTCTAAATTTTCAAAAATAACTTAAACAGTCCAGATCCCTTTGGGATTACAGAAATTTAGAAAATTTTCTTAGACCAAATAAAAATGAAGTGTGTCTTGATTTCAGCCTAATTCATACAGGGAACATCACAGAAAAAAATATAAGCCTCAGGCTAGCAATATCTTATTAATTTCTCACCCCGGTGTCCTTCTCCATCTAAACTACATTTCAATCAAAATAATTAAGATATATTGGCTTCTGATTGATGTCTTTGGGTTCTTTTCTCTCACGTTGAAATCTCCAGGGACAGACTCAATTATTTCCATTTATATGTTTATTGTGTATTATTTAGAGTAAACAGAATCAGTACAGAATCAGTAAAACATACACACACACACACACACACACACACACACACACACAGAGAGAGAGAGAGATAGAGATAGAGAGAGAGATAGACATATAAAATAGGAATAAGCTCACATAATTATGGAGGCCAAGGACTCCCATGATCTGTCTGACAACTGGAGAAACAGGAAAGTTAGTCTGAGTCTGAAGTCTTGAGAACCAGGACTGCCAGTGTTTGAGGGTAGGAGAAGGTGGATATCCCTGTCAAACAGAGAGCAAATTTGTACTTCCTTTGCCTCTTTTTTCTGTTAAGGCCTTCAATAGATTGGGGGATGGCCACTCACATTGGTAAGGGTATCTTCTTTATCCAGTCTGTAGATCAAATGCTAATATCTTCCAGCAACACCCTGATAGACACACTCAGTAATAATGTTCTACCAGCAATATGGGCATCTTTTAGCCCAGTTAAGTTGACACATAATATTAATACCACAAGTCATTTCTACTTTTGTTGTTGTTCTTTTAAAGTCATTTTTTACAATAAGTCAGAATTATATTTAAAATATAAATTAAATCATGTCATTACTTTAAATACATTATTCAAATAATAAAAATCTCAACGTTTATTGAACATAAAATAATATTAAAATCGCTTATCAGATTAAAAAGTGTTTGAAACTCTCCAACTAAACTTTAAGCCATTCTCCCCTTTCTTCATTATGTTCTAATTCTCTATTTTTCCTGTGAATTTCCAAAATAATAGTCTTGTTTGTTTGTTTTAGAAAGGTTGGGAATACCCTCTGTTCATCTTGGAATTTCAACCCCATAACTAACTCCTTCATGTTCTAAAAGTCTTCCATTGATTTTCTTTTATTGCTTTTTTCCTCAGGTCTTTCAAAGCAAACCTATCCCAGTAGCTTTCTTTAATTAATCTTTATCAGAGTCGTATTTTGTTTATCAACACCCTAGCATTTCTTTCTTACTATCTAATTGCATGCTTATTGGTTGACCTGTGAATTGACATTCTTTCCTCATAGACACTATGTACTATGAAGTCAGGAGTGATCTTTGTTTTTCTAATTACTATGCATCAATTACGTAAGATAGTACTCAGCATATATTAGGCATGAACAATCATTTTTTGATTTAATGAATAAAATAACTAATGGATCATGGGCTCATCTACTTGGCAATCACATTATTATAAAGATGCCTGAGGGCTGGTATGGATCCAACTCAGGATATATATATGTGCCCATGTCATTACAGTGACAGAGGTATAAAATTGAGGATACAACTTTGAATCATCAACTGTATTCTGCTCCACTATTCCATCTTTATTGGCCCCCAAAATGCCCATGGTTCACAAATATAAATTATCTTTTAATATTCTTTTCAGTAGGCTTATTTTTAAAGGGTTATGAATAATTCTTCTCTGAAATTAAAAAAAGGTTTTATTATATTTCTATTCAGATCTGATTAATCTTCCCTATGAATGTGTGCTAGTTGTAATGTGGTTATACATACTTATATTAATCAACTGATAAAAGAAAGCTGTCACTTTTTTAAAAAGATGCTAAAAGTAATCTTCCCTTCTTCGCTAAGAGTTATTGATTCTCTGTGTATAACATCCTCACAGGAAATCAGATACATGTCATGCTTGGGTAAAACTGCTCAGGGCAAAGTAGCCTCAAAAGATTCCCTGAGGACTCAGAAAGAAGCCCAGACTCTGCTTCCCCAGCACTCTGAGCATGGTACAAAGAGTATCAAGGGGCCATCGTCCAAGCACCGGCAGTGCTTTACCATTCCAGAAAGCAACACAGAACAGACAACCTGTATATGTCTGTACCATAATGTGTAATAAAAATTAATGATAGATAATTTGGTTTAACTAAGTTTGAAAAATATCTCTGAAATATCTGTTTTAAAAGAATTTATTTTCCAAGGCAATTAGAATGATAAATCACTCAAGGTGTATTTATATCAGAATAGAAGAACAGTTTTACTTTGTATTATAAGTTTAACAAATATTTAGTGAATGAATACATATACCAAAAACTATTTTAACCCAGAAAGCATTTGCCTAATCATTCATTCTTCCACCTACCAATTTGTCTTTTCAACTGCTTATTTCACCATGCAAGACACTTTTGAGAAATGACTATTTTGAGGACTGGATGGGACAATACAAATAAAATATGATGCAAACATACTTAGTTCCTACCTCTTTGCAACCCATACCTGGTAAAAATCCACATTCTAAATTAGAGAATAGTATAAAGAAAACTTGGTAACAATAAATAAAATATTTTATGTCCTTGAATGTACTAACTACCTGAGGGAGAGATACACATGGACATATATAACTATGATTCAACTTATTAGATAGGCTAAGAGGTATGTGTTCAGTGTTCCAGCACCAACACTTGCAGTTGATTTAAGCATTTAGAAAATATTTCATGGAATAAGCATCATATGTTCTGGTTGAAGAAAGAGCAAAAATTTGGGTGGAAGGAAAGCAAAGAACACTTCAGCCAAACATAAAGTCCTTTTAACAAAAAATATATAAAGGATAAGGCACACAAAAATTGATAGAAATTTAGTGGTGTCTTGAATATAAAATATGTTGAAATGTGTTGATATTTTGTTGAGCAGGCCATTATAAGTCATGTGAATTTGCTATTTGCAATGGGACCTACCAAACTCTTAGGATGAGTAACAAACACACTTTTCTTTGAGTAGATCACCTTAGTGAAACAACTTTCATTTGTTTTAGACCGAGATATCACTAAAGCAACAACTAAATGTTTTGCTTATCTTATTTCCTAAAAAAGTGAGGTATAAGATTATTTTCTCCCACTTTATAAATGAGGAATTAAGTGAATTTCTGTAGGTTATCCAGCTAGCAAATTACAAATATTAAACTCAGGCCTATTTGACCACCTACACTTGTTAGTTTCTACTAATTTGTGCTAGTCATCTCCTACTTTGTTTCTGAAATTAAAGGAGATGAGAAATAAAACAAGAGAGGAGAATTAATTCCACCATATCAAGATATGGAGAGCGGCTATAAAGAAAAATTTAGTATTTTAAGAGATGAAGTAAAAAGATTTGGGAGAGGGAAGCCGAGGCGGGTGGATCATGAGGTCAGGAGATCGAGACCATCCTGGCTAACATGGTGAAACCCCGACTCTACTAAAAAATACAAAAAATTAGCCGGGCATGGTGGCGGGCACCTGTAGTCCCAGCTACTCGGGAGGCTGAGGCAGGAGAGTCACTTGAACCCCAGAGGCAGAGGTTGCAGTGAGCCGAGATTGCACCACTGCACTCCAGCCTGGGCAACCGAGCGATATGCCATCCCCCCCGCCCCCACCAAAAAAAAGTTTTGGGAGAGTGATTGTATGGGACAGAATCAGAAAAACGAGGATTTCAGAATTAATCCTCCATGGGTTATTAAGTCAAAGTGGAAAGCGATGGGGCTATTTAACAAGATAAGTAGAAGGAGAAAATACATGGAGAATGTATCCAGGAAAATCAATTCACTGATAATTTTTATTTCAAAAGGAAAGATCCAAAAAAATGAGAACTCAAAAAACCTAAAAAAAAAAAAAAGAAATATATCTCTTACATTAAAAATAATCAGGCATTTGATTCAAAAGATCAAAGATTAGTAAACAAATTAATCCCCCAAATCTGCATCCTAGATGCATTAGTAGACACATCTTTACTCCATTTGTTTAGTACACCATCTTTCAGAAAACTACATCCCATGCAATGTGGCCTTAATTGAGCTGAGGATCTTAGCAACCTGTCTAGCTTTGTGAAGAGAAGGTCCTGTGACACAGGGTCTGGCAAAACATAGGTCACTTTCCCATGGTTTTGATTGTTAATTCAAGGGCCGTGACATTGCTCGGGCTGAAAACCAAGTAGAGGAAATGTTTTCTTATGGCGTTGATCTAGAGAAATTCAATAAAGAAGCTCCATTTTTCAATGCAAGTTCTAAGACTGGGATGTTTGAGTATAGACTTATGACATTTTTTTGGCAGCTATATGTGAAAAGCTCATTTCATAGTAAAAGCAGGTAGAGCTAAGCAGAAAGACCAAAAAAGCAGAGTCATTGTCCCTTCAGGACCTAGTGCCTAACTCTGAGATGCTGGATCCTGCAATTCTCTCTTTTCTTCAGGATTGCTTGACCTTGGCATTCTTCCTAACAAAGGAATGTTGGTGAAATCAACCACTTAGACATGTCTTAATGAAAATTGTGTATTTTAGCATAATGGAAACAGTATTACAAACACTCATGCATCTTTGAAAAACTGAATCAGAGAAATGCAAAGGAATAAAATTCAGGATGGCCTCCAATTTCTCCTTGAATAGAGGCTCAGAATATATAGAACATGAAGGAGCATAAATGTTTAAGGAGACCCAAAGAAGTAGGAAGACCAAACTGGATGTGTCTCTTCTATGATATTTGAGATATGTTTTCTGCTTTCCTCGGTTAACATTATAATTCCCCAGTTCAGGCATTGTTACTTATTGTTATTTCTTCTATAATTATCTCCCTGAGAATCATTAAACTGGTAAATGTTCATCTTTCTTGTACCTGACTTTTAGGAAGATTGAATCAAATGAGACAGGACAGTTTAAAAAGTCTAATTTTTATGCTTGGCTTAGGAAGCAAATCTAAAGATATATAAACACAGCTTAAATATTGTGAAGATTGTAACTACATCAAAATCCATATTAACTTCCCACTAAACCAACTCTGACAACATCTGGTCTCTCTTTAAAATCATCATTTGCGTTTCAAAGCCATTACTCATATTTCTCACCAAGTTTGCTTTTTCTTTATCTTCCTCCTCCTCCTCCCTCATTTTCTCCTTCAGATTAACATCCACCCAAAGAAAAAAATAAATAACAAGTACATAAAGACCATGAAACTTTAGTGTATAGCTGAATGATTTAATATAAGTAATCATATGTAGCCATGATCCAGCTTAAAATATAAACTATTCCCAGTATACCAATTAGTAGTATTTTTAATACCAAGCAAGAAAGTACGGTTGTCTCTCCGTATCCATGGGGATTAGTTCCAGGACTGCTCCAGAATATCAGAATCTATGGATGCACAAGTCTCTGATATAAAATGAGGTAGTATTTGCATATAACCTGTGCACATCCTCCTGTATATTTTAAACATCTATAGATTACTTATAATATTTAATACAGTGTAAATGCAATGTAAATAGTTATCACACTGTATTGTTTAGAAGATAATGACTAGAAAAAAGTCTGCACATATTCAGTACAGACAAAAATTCTCTTATGAATGCAGTATTTGCAATTAATATTAAGATCAGAAGGCTAAGTGAAGTATCTCTGATCACTATGTTGTCCCTGTATGAAAGGGGAGGTATTTATATCTCTTAATAAGCTCAACATATGTTATTATTGCTTGTTTATAACAGCCCCATGAGATGCAAAGGCTAAAACTTGAAGTAACCTGCCCCTGTTATAAAGACATGATATGAACGTGGGTATGTGTGGCCATCAATATTTTTCTGTAATACCTCTGGACTCGCAAACCTTCCATTGAAATCTCTTATAGTGCACATCACAGAATGTAGTGCACTATACATATGAAAATCCACTAGAAAGTAACATCTTGAGCTCAAGGATCATGTCTTATTCTTACATTGCCACCACCTTCCACAGAACTCAGAACATAGTAAGATTTTAGGAAAATTTGGGGAAAATATTTGAATGGATGGAAGAAACACCAAATGAAGGAAAATAAGAAAAGTGGAAAGAAGTAAGAAAAGTAGGAAAGAAGAATGTAATAACTATAGAAATATCAGAAATTTTCTGATTCCTTTTTTTTTCTTTAACATGTTGTAAATATGGTGTTGGAAAATCTCGATAGCTCTAAAAAACGATACTGATGAATGAATGAATGGATAAATATACGAGCAAATTAAAAATGAGGAAGTGTAGGTGAAAACTCGGTAAATATAATCCTTACCCACATTCTCCACTTCCACCACCACCTCTACCCATAGACTTCAATGTCACTTCCCAGACACAGTGCATTTCTCTATGTGGACCTAACTTCTATGCTATAATTTCATTTCCTGAATCTCCTGAAAGAACCTAATTGAAAAAAAAAATTATATGCCCAGACCTGCTTTAACTTTTTGCTAAATAACTCAAGAGTGTCAAATTAAACTGTTGGACACTATTACAATCTGTTCAGGGTTGATTATGTAAAAATGGTGGTATATGGCATCTCACACATCTTCAGGAGATCTGCCTTGGTTTGGTGTTCAAAGATTCAGGCAGCATTGAGATTTGAGAATGAAAGCACTACAGTTGCTTAAAAGTTCAGATCAAATTCTATCAAAATGGGACTGAACCATTTTGGATTATATGAAAAGTGAAGAATTATCTTAGTCTTAGACAAATGCTCATCTTTCAAAACAGTCCTGGAAGTGGTGACATACTCCTTTTTTTTTTTTCAATTTAATTGACATTGCAATAGTTTTAAGAAGGGGTACCTTTAATAAGTGATTAGGCAAGAGGGCTCTGCCCCCATGGGTGGAATCGGTGCTGTTATAAAAGGGAAAGTAAGCCCTCCTGTCTCTTTGCTCTTTCATCATGTAATGACGCACCAAAAACGCCCTCACCAGATGCCTCTGGAGGTCATGAAGTCCTCATCTTTGACTTCATGACCTCCAGAACTGTGAGGAAATAAATTTCTGTTCTTTTTAAATTACCCAGCCTCGGTTATTCCGTTATGGCAACACAAAACATACTAAGATAGCACTCAACAAATGGATGCTATATTTTTTGAAGTATTACCAACTAGTGTTTATCACAGCCAGTAAATGTTGGTCTATATCTAGATACAGTGAGCAATAAATTTGACAAAGTTCCAAAGGCCTTTTAATATCTAACAGAAATTTAAAATGTTGTTTAAAAATTACAGATATGAAATTCTCAATTTTTATACAGCCCTAAGTGGCCATGGGACCTGGTAAAAGAACTTCTGACTTATGCAGCCATATTTGTTAATGAAGAGCACTATTCTACCATTATTTGATTTGGATATTTGTCCTCTCTTTTGAAAAACTGGAATAAATATTTGGGATTAAAAAACAATTTCACTTGCAATATTTTTATAGTATCTCCAGAAAGGATTGGAAATATGCCATGGTCAATTGTAAAACTACACTGCTACATATTTAAGTTTTTAGAGAAAACAACAAAATATTAACAGTAATCATTAGAGGGTGGCAATATCATATGTGACTGTTTTCCTTTGAATAATTCTGTGTATGTGCCAATGATCTAGTTAACATATATTGTATCTTTTTCAGGATGTCATGAGGATTAAGATTCTGTGTTACATATCAAAAGGCAAATAGCATTATTTTGCAACTTCCCATGTGATTCTTTCCAACTAGATGTTAAATTTCAAGTAAGCAGCAACATTTCCATTTGTATTAATGAATCCTCCAAATGATATACCATAGGTGTTCAATAAGTCTACCAATACTACAGCCTGGACCAAGATGAGTTTTTGCTTTTTCAGAGCCCACCGGAAGTCATAATAAGCTAGCTAAAAGTAGTGCTAAAATTATCTGTCAAATTGCCAAATAAACAATTACTCCATTTTCTTTCTGTATTCTCATCTTCTTTCTCTCCCTTCTTTTCTTTTCTTTCTCCTCTTTTTCCCCTCTCTCTTTTTCCCTCTCGTTCTTCATGTTCTTTATTTCTCTCTCTCTCTCTCTTTCACTTCCCCTCTTTCCCAATATTTGGTAAGCATTTGTAAATTGTGGTGTATAGGGGGTAAAATATGAACCCATGCCCTCTGCTTTCAGGGAGTTTATGATCTAGCGGGGAACACAGGCTTTAAGCAGTTATAATCACACACAGCATACACATAGATCACAAACTGTAAACTCAAACTTTTTGCCACAAATGTGCAAAGTAAGAGAGTGGGAAGAAATTGGTTGGGGGCAAAGAAATAATCCCAATTAGCAACAAATGGAATGTTTTGCCTTCAAGTAACAAATTAGTGGCCGGTCTTGCTGGTATGTAGGGAGAGAAAAATATGTTGCGAGATAAAGTGACATGATAGGAAAGAGCTAGATCTTTAAGGATAATGGCAGATGTGGAGAATCACAAGGGAAAATAAAGGAATATGAAGAAAAAGCGAGAGTCCATGGAACTGGCCAAGTTAGAAGGAGTTACTCCCATAAGCAATAACTCAGAGGTTAATGTAAGTGGTATTTTAGAATAGTTTTATCAGAAGCAACAGTTCTATTGAAAATTCTTCTCTTGCCAACAGATCTACATCTTATTTGTCCATCAAACTTTAGAGCTATGTAAAACTTATTCTTAGCATAAAACATGAAAATAAAACAAAGAAAAAATAATAGACATTTTGAGATAGTAACCTTGTCATAGCAAAAACAAAAATAGTGCTTACAAGAGAGAAATCTATATGCATACTTGCTTATTTGGATTATTTTATTTTTAACATCATTAATTAATTACTGCTATTCTACACATTCCTCCAGCCATGAAGTCAAGAGCCAACTTGCAGAGCATTGACCAAGTTTTGTGCATCTCATGGCCAAAACCATTTTTTTAAATTAATTTTATGTTGGCATAATTGTAGACTCACAGGCAATAATCAGAAACATAGAGACACCTTTTGTTTACTTTATCCAGAGAAACAGTCTTGCAAAACTATAGTACAATATTCACAAAGAAAAGTTGTGACATTGACACAGTCATAATACACAGTCATAATACAAGCAATTTCTTTTTTTTTTTTTTTTTGAGACCGAGTCTTGCTCTGTCGCCCAGGCTGGAGTGCAGTGGTGCGATCTGGGTTCACTGCAAGCTCTGCCTCCCAGGTTCACGCCATTCTCCTGCCTCAGCCTCCTGAGTAGCTGGGACTACAAGTGCCCGCCACCACACTCGGCTAATTTTTTGTATTTTTAGTAGAGACTGGGTTTCACCATGTTAGCCAGGATGGTCTCGATCTCCTGACCTCGTGATCTGCTGGCCTTGGCCTCCCAAAGTGCTGGGATTACAGGCGTGAGCCACCGCGCCTGGCCACAAGCAATTTCTTTACTAGGATTCCTTATTTTACTCTTTTATAGACATTCCCACATCCCTCTATGTCCCCACATCCATCACTGACAACTGCTATGCTCTCATCTTCACTCCTATGTTTGTCATTAAAATTGTTATATTAACTAAATCACACAGAATGTAACCTCATCATAAGTCTCTATAATTCTCTAGACCACATCAATGTGTTGTGTGCATCATTAGTTCATTCCTGTTTATTATTGAGTAGTTTTTCATGATGCATATGTACCACAGTTTGCTTAACCGTTCCCCTGTTGAGGGGCATTTTGGTTGTTTCCTATTTTTGGCTACTAAAACGCCATGAACATTTATTTACAAATTTTTGTGTGAACATAAGCTTGGATGAATACCCAAGAGCACAGTGCAGTTGATAGATTGAATGATACTGAATGTTTAGTTTTTAAAATAATAACTTACTTGTTTTCAGAGTGGCTGTACCATTTTACATTGCCACCAGAAAGGTATGGGTGATAATTTCTTCACATCCTTGCCAGCATTTGATGTTCACTTTTTTTTTTTAGCCATTTTGATAGATAGGTACGTATTGACAACCCTTTGTGCTTGCATTTCCCTAATAATATTGAATATATTTTCACACACTTACCATCTGTTTTACCTTCATTTATAAAATGACTATTCATGTCTTTTGCCCACTTACTAATTATTTTCAACTGTTGCATTTAAGAGTTATTTATATATTTAGATACTAGTCCTTAGAAGAATATGTAGTTTGCAAATATATTTTCTTTTCTGTGGCTCATATTTTGATACTGTTAATATTATATTTTTTCCTCTTTTTAGTTTTAAAATGATACTCTTAACATGATCTTTTGCAACAAAAATTTTGATGGCAACTAATTTACCATTTTTGTAATTCATTGTCTTTAACTTGTTGAATCTTTCAATCCTAGAACGTGGCATGTCTATTTATTTAGATGTTCTGTTATTTCTTTCATCAAAATTTTGTAATGTTGGGCATGCATATTTGTTCATGTTATGCATATATACTTTATTTCATTTGAAATTATCAGAAGTTATTTTGCGTGTTTAATTTGGATTACCACATGTTCACTGTTTGTTAGTGTATGGAAATTCAATAATTTTTTGCAATTATTTTTATCCAGTGAGGTTTCTGAACTACCTTGTTAATTTTAGGAGCTCATTGCCTTATAGATTTGTTGGCATTTTGTACATAGACAATCATGCCATCTGCATATAGGCTCATTTTATTTCTTCCTTTCTAATATGTATATCTTTTATTTATTTATTTTTCACTTATTTGGTGGCTATAGTTTTTATATGTGGAATATGAGTGGTGATAGCTATAGTTTTCTTACAGAATCACTTTGCTAGTGTGAAGAAGTTATCCTCTGTTATAATTTGCTGAGTGTTTGTTCTGAATAGGTACTGGAAGTTGCCAAATGCATTTTCTGCGTCACTTAATAATATCTCATATATGTTTTTCTATTCTATCTTGTTGATGTATTGAATTAGTTTGCTTTATTTTCAATTGTTGAACCGGCCTTGTATACCTAAAATAAAACTCATGCAGTCAAGCTGTATACTTCGACTTGTTTTCCTCATTTTGAGAAATTTAAAATATGTAATACATAATAATCTGTAGTTTCCTTTAAACGGTGGTATTATTGCTCTTATAAAATGACTGGGGGATTGATTCCTTCTCTTCCATATTCTGGAAGAGATTGTATAAATTTGATGCTAATTCTATTTTGAAACTTTTATAAAATTCTCCAGTGAAAACACTTGGGCCTATTGAAAATATTCACCAGCTATGCATTCGACAAATGACTAATATCCAGAATCTACAAGGAACTCAAACAAATCAGCAGGAAAAAACAATCCCATCAAAAAGTGGGCAAAGGACAAAAATCGACAATTCTTGAAAGAAGATATACAATCAACAAACATACCAAAAAATGCTTAACCTCACTAATTATCAGGGAAATGCAACCCGATAATTAGTGATAATGCAATTAAAACCACAAAGAGAGACCACATTACTCCTGCAAGAATGGCCATAATTTAAAAATTAAAAAATAAGAAATGCGGTGAAAAGGGGACTCTTACACTGTTGGTGGAAATGTAAACTAGTACAACTACTATGGAAAACAGTATAGAGATTCCTTAAAGAACTAAAAGTAGAACTACCATTCCATCCAGCAATCCCACTATTGGGTATCTACCCAAAGGAAAATAAGTCATTATATGACAAAGACACAGGATCATGCATGTTTATAGCAGCACAACTCACAATTGCAGAAATATGGAACCAAACTGTATGCCTATCAACCAATGAGTGGATAAAGAAAATGTAGTATATATGCACCATGGAAAACTACTTATGCATAAAACAGAAGACAAAAATGGCCTTTGCAGTAACTTGGTTGGAGTTGGAGGCCATTATTCTAAGTGAGGTAACTCAGGAATGGAGAACCAAACATCGTATGTTCTCACTTATAAGTGGGAGCTAAGCCATGAGGATGCAAAGGCATAAGAATGATACAATGGACTTTGGGGACTTGGGAGGAAGGGTGGGAGGGGATGAAGGGTAAAAGGCTATATATTGGGTACATTGTACACTACTTGGTGATGGGGGCACCAAAGTCTCAGAAATCACCACTAAATCACTTATCCATGTAACCAGAAACCACCTGAAACTGTTGAAATAAAATTTTTTAAAATTAAAAATGATTAATTTTAAGTTATATGAATTTCACCTCAAAAAAAAAGTACAATCAAAAACATAAAAAATAAATATATCATAAATTAAATGTAAGTAATAGTTATTAAACTATGTATGTTGTCTGTTTTATCTTGGTTGAGTTTTGGTAATTTGCAGTTTCTAAACAGTTGGACCGTTAATTTTTAGTGGTCAAATTTATGAGTAAAGCTCTTACAATATCCCCTTATTATTCTTTTAATGTTGCAGAGACTGTAGTACAATCCCTTGGTTTATTCAGATATTGGTCATCTATGTTTTCTCTCTTTTTATTTATGTATGCTTGTATAATATTCATCAGTTTTAATGGATTTTTCCCAAAGGACTAGATTTTTGTATATTATTTCAGTTCCATTAATTGACAGAGTAGGAGCACTGTCATCTCAGGCAAACACTGCCACTTTAAGTTCCAGCTTAAGTTTCTAGCCTCATGCATTTCAAGGAAATCCCTTCTAACAACAAGCAGACAGAAAGAGCAGACACTAAAACATAGATAGGACAGCTCTGGCACAGAGGGAGATGGGGGGAAAGCCTCTTACGTACCTGCCAGACTTCACCCTCATACAACGGGCCTCAGTAAAACAGTGGGACTTAATAAGCATATTCCTTTCCCTTCAGGTGCACTAAGATAGGGAAACTAAAAGCAGACTCGAGGCCAGGTGCACTGGCTCACGCCCATAATCCCAGCAATTTTGGAGGCCGAGGCAGGTGCATCACCTGAGGTCAGGAGTTCAAGACCAGCCTGGCCAACATGGTGAAACCTGTATCTACTAAAAATACAAAAATTAGCTGGGCGTGGTGGCAGTCACCTGTAATCCTGGCTACTCAGGAGGCTGAGGCAGGAGAACTGCTTGAACCCAGGAGGCAGAGGTTGCAGCGAGCTGAGATCGTGCCATTGCAATCCAGCCTGGGCAAAAGAGTGAAACTACATCTAAAAAAAAAAAAAAAAAAAAAAAAAAGATAAAAGTGGATTTGCAGGTGTGCCTGCAGCTGCAGGAAGACGTATGGGAACAGACACACAACTCTCCCTCCCAGGTAAACACAACAAAGAGACACAGAAGCAGTCCAAGTCTCTGATAAACTCTCGCACCCTAAATCTTTAAAAACTCTTAGTCTGTAAGAGAGTGTGCCTCTGACTTAACTTGGCCAGAAGCCCCTCTCAGGTATATTTTCTCTAAAATAAACCTGTCTCTGATTGTTGAGCCACTTTTCATGTTTCTTTCCTCTTTCTTTAATTTTTACATTCATCTCTTTTATCTCTATTATTTCCTTCTTCTTAGTTTCAAACTATTATACTCTTCTTTTTCTAGCTTCTTGAAGTAGAAATTTAGATTACTGATTAAAAACTCCTCTTTTAATGCATAACACACAGTGCTGTACATTTCTTTTAGTACTGCTTTATCATTTTTCCAAAAGTGTTGATGTATTGTATTTTATTGTCATTTAGTTCTAGAATTGTATTTTCTTTGATACTTCCTATTTGACTTATTGATTATTTAGAAGAGTATCATTTAGTTTTAAATATTTTAATGATTTTTTGTTATAATTAACTTCTAGCTTGATTTCATTGAAGTCAGAGAACAAATTCATTATGATTTCAACTCATCTAAACTCATTTTTTAATGGCCAGGAAAATGGTTATCTTTGAGAATATTCTGAGTTCTTAAAAATAAGTACATAGGCCAGGCACAGTTGCTCACCCCTGTAATTCCAGCACTTTGGGAGGCCAAGGTGAACAGATCATTTGAGGTTAGGAGTTTAAGACAAGCCTGACCAACATTGTGAATCCCTGTCTCCACTAAAAATACAAAATTTATCCAGGTGCATGCCTGTAGTCCCAGCTACTTGGGTGGCTGAGGCACAAGAATCACTTGAATCTGAGAGGCAGAGGTTGTAGTGAGCCAAGATGGCACCACTGCACTCCAGCCTGGGTGACAGAGTGAGACTGTGTCTTAAAAATAAATAAATTAAATAAATAAATAAATAAATATATTCTGCTGTTGTTGTTGTGGCATGTCCCATATATGTCAAATGGACACTACTGGTTTATTTTGCTTTCTAGATCTTGTTTGAACTTGCCTGCTTTTTTTGTTTAGTACTTCTATAGTTACTAATATGGGGTGCTAAAATTCCTTACCATGGCCGCGCGCAGTGGCTCACGCCTGTAATCCCAGCACTTTGGGAGGCTGAGGTGGGTGGATCACCAGGTCAGGAGATCGAGACCATCCTGACTAACACAGTGAAACCCTGTCTCTACTAAAAATACAAAAAATTAGCTGGGCGTGGTGGCAGGCACCTGTAGTCCCAGCTACTCGGGAGGCTGAGGCAGGAGAATGGTGTGAACCTGGGAGGAGGAGCTTGCAGTGAGCCGAGATAGTGCCACTGCACTCCAGCCTGGGCGAAAGAGCGAGACTCTGTCTCAAAAATAAAAAATAAAAATAAAAATAAAAATAAAATAAAATAAAAAAATAAAATTCCTTACCATAATTATACATAGCTATATCTATTTGCTTTTTCAGATTTGTCAACTTTTGCTATATATACTTTGAAGTTCTTTTATTCAGTGTGTAAATATTTATGATTGTTGCATCTCCCGATAGATACTTTTGTCATTATATAATGTCCCCCTTTATCTCTAATAATTTTCTTTGCTCTTATGTCTACTGTAGCTGATATTAATATCATCATCTTTTTTTTTGAAAAAAGTATTGTTTTCATGGTCTTTTCCGTATTATTTTAAAATTAAATCTATCTATGTAGTTATATTTGAAGTGAACTTTTTGTAAACAACACATTGTTGGATTATTCTTTTGTTTCTTTATCCTCCTTTCTTGTCTTTGCTCTGTTTGTAGTGTATGCAGACCATTGATACTTAAGGTAATCATTGATATAGTGAGGCTTAACTGTGCCACCTTATTTGTTTTTGGTTTGTTTCCTGTGTTTCTCTTTCCTCTGTTTGTCTTTTATTGCCTTTCTTTGGGTTATTTAAACTTTTAAAATTATTTTAACTCAATTTATTTACACTGATTTTGAGTATATCATTTTATGTACTTTTCTTAATTGTTGCTCCAGGAATTACATGGTGCATATGTAACTAAATATAACCTACTAATATTGATGCCTTACCACTTTAGATGAAGTGTAGAAACATTACTTTTATTTAGGTTATATATGGCCCCAGACTTGAGAGATAATTGTCTTAAATATTTATTTTGTATACATTGAGCATCCCTTCAGATGGTGTGGTTATTTTAGCTTAAATCACCAAAGATTGTTTAAAAATCTCATTAGAAATAGCATATTCTATTTATCTACTTTTTCTTTAACCCATTGTGATGTTCCTTTCTATCTGAAGCTGTTAAGACTTATTCTTTATTGCTTCCTTTTATTTTGTTAGAAAAAGTCCCTTTAGTCATTCTTTAAAGTTAAGTTTGATAGCAAATTTTTAGTTTTCTTTCAGTTGACACTATCTTTATTTCTCCTTCATTTTGAAGAATATTTCAACTGAATATACAATTTGCAGTTAACAGCTCATTTCTTACAGTACATAAAAATATTGTGGCATTTCTTTCTGATCTTTATGGTTTCATTTATTTATTTATTTATTTGAGATGAGTGTGGCTTTGTCGCCCAGGCTGGAGTGCAGTGGTGCGATCTCGGCTCACTGCAACCTCCTCCTCCTGGGTTCAAGAGGTTCTCCTGCCTCAGCCTCCCAAGTAGCTGAGACTACAGGCAGGCGCCACCACACCCAGCTAATTTTTGTATTTTTATTTTATTTTATTTTATTTTGAGATGGAGTCTTGCTGTGTCATCCAGGCTGGAGTGCAGTGACGCGATCTCGGCTCACTGCAAGCTCCGCCTCCTGGGTTCACACCATTCTCCTGCCTCAGCCTCCTGAGTAGCTGGGACTACAGGCACCCACCACCACGCCTGGCTAATTTTTTTTTTTTTTTTTGTATTTTTAGTAGAGATGGGGTTTCACCATATTAGCCAGGATGGTCTCGATCTCCTGACCTCGTGATCCGCCTACCTCAGCCTTCCAAAGTGTTGGAATTGCAGGCGTGAGCCACCGCGCCTGCCCTAATTTTTGTACTTTTAGTAGAGATGAGGTTTCACCATTTTGGCCGGGATGGTTTCGATCTCTTGACTTTGTGATGCGCCCGCCTTGGCCTCCCAAAGTGCTGGGATTACAGGTGTGAGCCACCGCATCCGGCCTGATCTTTATGGTTTCAAATGAGCAATCTGCTGTTATTCAAATTAGTGTTTATCTGTAAGTAATATGTCTCTCTCTTGCTGCTTTCAGGGGTTTTTATTTTTACTTAGTTTTCAGAAGTTTAATTATAATCAGAAGCATAAATTCTTTGGTTTTAACTTGGTGTATATTATTATGTTTGGTTTTAACTTGGTGTATATTATATTCCTTGAATCTGTGGTGTATGTCCTTTTAAAACTTTGGGAAGATTTTGATCACTCTTTTGTCGTTCTTTTAACCTCACTCTCTTTCCCTTCTCCTTCTTTAACTCAAATAATGTAAAAGTTGGATTTCTTTTTATTATTCTACAAGTCCCTGATATTTGGTTTGCATTTTTTAAATTGGTTTATTTCTCTCTGTCGTTCAGAATGGGTAAATCCTATGGCTATTTCAATTTTACTTCTATTCTTTTTACCTCTAGTATACCATTTAGCTCATCCAGAAAAATTTTTATTTCAGTTATTGCATTATTATTTTATAATTCCAGTTAATTCTTTATAACTTCTGAATCTTTGTTGGTATTTCTGCTTTTATTTGTTTGAGAATTCATAATTGTTTGTTGAACCATTTTTTATGATAGCTGCATTGAAATTTTTGTCAGATAACTCCAACATCCTAATTTATCTCAGTGTTGGTGTCTATTAGTGGTATTTTCTCATTCATGTTGTGATTATCGTGGTTTTTGGAATACTGGGTGATTTTCAATTGTTTTCTCTTTGACATTTTAAATTTTATAATATGAAGCTTGGGATTCTATATAATAATATTTTAAAACTATATAGAGATGTTTTATAATGACCTTTAAAGTCTCCTGTTCAGATTTAGTGGAAACGCTAAATAGTTGTTTATGTTTAGCTTTGCATTGGGCCCATTCCGCATCACACTAGCAAAAGTGAGGCACTGATTCACAGTGCCTTAATACAGATGGGTGGTGTGGAATTTCAGCTGACTTCAGCCCCACAGACACCTTCCCAATAAAACTGGACCCAATGACTTGAACCATCTCACTACTTCAGAGTGAGGGTGTGAGCTCAGCTCCCCACTGGGTCTCTTGCCACCAGGTAGGTAGACACAGAGAGCTGGTTAATATCACTTTTACTGCAGATTGGCAATAGAAAGTCAGCTCTTTGCCAGGCCCCACTGATACCAGAAGTGGGAGGCTAGAAAAGGACTGCAAATAGCCATACCTTACATCACTTTGTTCCATCTTGTTGATGTTGGATGAGAATGGAGGTTCATTTTGCCACTGGGCCTGCTTACATTAAAAGATAGGGGAAAGCACACTGCTCCCTAGCCTATACCCATACCAGCTTTTCTGACTTATTGATGATACAGCTTTCCACAAGACCCCACTGTCACTTCCCTGGTAGTGGAATTAGAACAATATCTGCTTCCACCACCTGGAGAATAGAAGAACAGCCCCCTGCTCAGCCTCATTGTCCCTGCCTCAGCAGAAGACTTGAAATACCAGCACCTGCTTCTGGTGGGCAAGGGATGAAAGATAAAATCCTTGCTTTGTCTTGCTATTCTCACAGGGTTGGGAAATAAAAGCACTGCTGCCTTTTTCTGCAAGGTGGTGTGAGGAAGGGCCAAAGATAACTCTGTGCTTGGCCCCACTGAAAGCATAGTAAAGTATACATTTCCTGTTGGTTTGTGGCTTGTAGTTGAGCATGTACTGCCAAAAAAGAATGTCTTATTTTGGTTAGGTCACCCTCTTTTCTATGGCCAGGAGCAAAAATATTTTATTTGGAGCTTCTTTTATTTTTGCCCATTAGTGGTAAGGGGTTGGAGTCTTCTGCAACTTTCTGTATGGGGTGTATGCAAAGCAATAAAAACACCTCAGGGGATTCACAGAAACGTAATTCAAGTCTTAAGCTTCTTAGGCAGCCAGGCTTTTTTCCACCTTTCAGAGACTATCTATGCTCCTTTATTATGTTATTCCCACAGTTCTTGAGTTGCAAAAAGGAAAACCTAAGAGAGATGTTTAGTTACCACTTTGGACCTAGGGTGGCTAAAAACTTAAGATAATCCACCATCCTTTGTGGTTTAACTGAGACATTGCTATGTATTTTGAAATGGTGTCTTAAGGCCTCCTCAAAATATTGTAATTTCTGTGTTTCATTTGCTTCTTGCTAGGATATTAATATAGATATACTTTTAAAGAACTTCTTGTTTCATTCTTTATAAAAACTTTTCATAAGAAAATACATTTATTTTTTAAACACATACATATACATTCACATGTATTTTCAAAACTGAAATTTACAAACTCAAATCTAGAGAAATTGAGAGAGAAAGATTTTTGAGGGTCCAATCCTCTCATTTAACAATGGAGAATTAATCACCCCTAGGTCATAGTGTAAGACAATGACCAAGACAAGACTGTAATTTTGACCTTGAAAATTCTATGAAGGTTGATGCTTTTCTACTGTAACTTTCTTCTGCGAATTGCAATATTTATACAGTTGAGAATTCCATACCTCTCTATCCATAAAATTGTATTGTATTCAGTGCATTTTTCACAGAAACATACTTCATTTTATACCACACGATTCCTTTTGGTTTTGAACCATAATGATGTAGTATAAAGTATAAATAAATAGCTTCACTTAAAATGCCATTTTCAAAATTACTGCACTTTTGTTCCACAGTGGAAAGAATTTAAGTCAGAGCAACAATGGGTTGACTACAAAGAATATCCCATTTGACACGTATGAGCTCTGAAGTACAAATATATTTTGAGTTATTCTTAGACATGCCCTCTTTCTCTTCAGTGACCAAATAGATTGTCTGTGACAAATTAGTCTAGTCAGGCACAGAATATACCCAGTATTACAGTATTTGCAGATTTCTTTTCCTGCTAGGTATCAAACTGATGAGGTGTAAGTCGTCTTTACTGACTAAAATAATTAGAAAGACCCTTATCCATGAGGAATTTTTACATCACACAAGCCATGAAAGATCACAAATACATTTCCTTTTCTTTCTATGCTAGCATTTCATGGCGTTTTAAAATAATATTAATAATTTATTTCTTACGTACCTTTGAAAAGTTCACTAAGTACTTATGTACATAAGGCAAATCCAGTCAGATATAATTATTGTTGAAGCAACATTCTTTTGGGGGTAAAGGGACTGAGCTCATCTTTGATTAACCCTTCTGGACAACTGGGTTTTTACTTAGTATCCACATATGCTGCCCTCACTATTAGGACCTGTGCTGTCTGTAAGGATTTTAAGGCATAAGGATAACAAATTCATAAACTGAGAATGTCTTGTTAAACTTCATAATGAGAATCAGATGGAATTCACTATGACTTTTATATTGCATAATTGTAAAAGCTAAAAATTGACTATCATCTAACTTATTTTGATATTAAGTGTTAATTCCTCCTCTCTAAAGAACTAGTGGGAATTTTTGGACAATATGGCTGAAACTTGTTTAATGTGGTCTCAATATTTTTGTCTGTTTTTTTCTGTCATCTTTTTGTGTCCCATGTCTCCCTTATTCTACACCTCTATATCTTTACTGGTCATTTTCAAAATCCTTTAGTGTGATTTCAGAATCCTTTAGTATCATCCTTTAGTATGAAACGTATTTTTGGTCTCCACTGCAATTTATAAATGTCCCCTTTTGTTGTAATATTCAATCAACTTATTTCTGTGGATGTTTGCTCATTCAATTAATTTAGCAAAATGCCTCACTCTAGCTATTTATTCAGAAAAAAGTTTCTCTCTATAATTTAATTGCTTCCTCTTGATATTGATTCACAACATTTATTGTGATATTTTATTATAGGGCAGAGTCATACTCTGAATATTGTCCAAGCTGAAGGATGCACCTGTTATTCAACAACAACAAAAACTACATTTCCAGTACACTTTTAAACACCTGGCTACCACTCTTACTTTCTCACCTCAATTCCTCCATTTCATTTTCACTACCCCACTCCAGGAGAAAATCATGTTTGTTCTTTGCTTGTTTGTTTGTTGTTTCCTGTTTCGTCATTGAATGTTAATATTAAGTATTCTTCCATTGTACTATTTCGATTTGTTCTTTTAATGTGAGAGACATATAGGCAAAATTAATCCTATAATAAATGAGAGACAATACAACCTTAGAGTTTAGGTGCATTCCTAAGAGTATTTTGGAATTGGTTTTGCAGTAGCCACCCCCTACACTAACACATTCAATTTATTTCTTGTTGCAGCATTTCTGGTTTATTTAGATCATAAGTAATGAGTCGACCCAGGAAAGATACACACTGCCTAAACTGGTTGTATGGTTGGTTTTACAACTTTTGCAGGCATCAGAATCACTTGGAGAACTTATTCAAACACAGATTTCTGGTCTGCTCTCAAATAATTATTAATTTGTACTATTTTTAGAAATTTAATTCTTTTGACCAGGTTTGCTCTAAGGAAGTGCACTTTACTCAATTCTGGGTAATAAGAAATTAGTTAGCTAGAAAGCGATTCTCATCTGATATAAAACTATAACCTCTTTCTACAATAAACTGTTGCACTTTTACCATGCTTGCTTCTTTCTGCTATGGAGTAAAGATATATTAAGATATGCAACAATCAACTTCAGCAATGTCATGAAACTGTGAGGGGATAATCATATGATATAAACCTACTACTTCTAGGATGATGGAACACAGAGGTGGAAATAACTTGGGTCCTGGATGATCTTATTCAATCTCTGACCTAGCTTGGGGTCGCATCCTTGGAAGTTATAGTTTTGTTATGACCAATAAGCCTCTGTTAATTTAAACTGAAGTTAGTCACAAATTCAGTCACTTTCTATCTCAACATACATAGGTGCTCAATAGTTTAGAGTAACTTGGATTTCAAATCGGATTTTCAAATCCTAGTATACTCTTTTTCTCTTGTAGGCTACTGATGTCTTATTATTGGGTCAGCTATCCCTGCTGTCTATTTTCCCCACATTGCTACCTTTTCCTCCTCTAAAAATATTCCAAACATTGGTTTTGTTAGAGATCCATCAAAAAATGTATTTGAAAAAAGACAACTTTTAAGAAATAAGCATCATTTAAATAATTGCTTATTAAAATGTCAGAACGGAGTCTTATGATGAATTAAACATGGGGATGAGTTTAAAATCTCTAAATCATGGCAAGACAGCTATTTAGGTGCTATTGTTTACTATTGGAAAACATATTCCAGCTGTTCTAGAAAGCATTACAACAGCACAATCTGGCAAAGAACTCTGATCCTAAGCATGTTTTACTCCAGGCTATTGCCTAACATATGGATGGAAATTCCTACAGACATCAGCCTAAGCCTGATTGCACAAACAAGCAGAGTCAGGCATAGCTCCACTTAACTCAGTAACTTGGTATAATACAGTAAGTGTTGTACAGTTTACAACAGTTTATAGTGTTATCTTGAAAATCTTTGCCTGTCACACAATTCAGAGACATAAAGAAATGATAATATCTTCATTCATTTTTTAAACAATTATTTTTGCTGTCAATTTATAATTAGAAAAACAAAGCCTGCATTTTATAGTTCTTAGAGTAATTTTGTATCTGCTATTTCAAACGTGAAACAAATCTGTGCACAACCAATGTGACAGAAAATATCAGAATTTTTCAACTGAAGAGATTGGGAATTGAAATTTTAAAATATTGTGGGAAAAGGATCTTTGAAGGTATTATTTTCTTCTATGAATGAATGGAGCATTCATACAGCAGATCTTCTGGCCACTGGTCTGATATATTTTGCTTAGCAGACGTAGGGACTGGCATGTAGTCACTACTGTAGTCACTGTTAGAACTAAAACTAGAATCCAGATCAACTGACTTTTAATGTAGTGTGTTTCAAACAGGTGATGATTCTTTCCGTGTGACGCTGATATTTGACGCTGAACTATGGTCAAAGGTCTCTTGTACTGTGTCACCAGTGGGTAATTAATACCCTCAAGAATTGCTAGAATGGTAGAGATGGAGGTACTTGTATCGGAAGGCTTGTGCTATCTCTGGGTGAGACCAGCAGGGGAACAGCCTGAATCATAATAAAGCGTATTTGAATTGTCATTCCGTGTCTGTTAAATAATCAGACTTTCTCTGACACAACAGAAGAAATGTTAAACCAGGTAGAATTTCCTGTTGATGAGGCTGTAAAATACAGAAATATAAGTATAACAGAATGATGAGATCACCTCCCCTTATATAAGATAGTTTACCTGCTAGAGGAAAAGTAAATAGTGAACAGTTGCTGGGATGATTCCATTATAGATTTTTGATTGAGATACAAAGGTAACCAAAGAAGGTAATTACTTTACAAAATTTTTTCAAGTTTAAAAAAACTTTCTAAGTTAAGATATATAAGTTAAGAGAATTAGGAAAATGAGCTAATGCATGTTGGTCTTAATACCTAGGTGATGGGTTGACAGGTGCAGCAAACCACCATGGCACACATTTACCTATGTAACAAACCTGCATGTCCTGCACATGTACACTGGAACTTAAAAAATTTAAAACAAAACTAACATAAATAAATAAATATAGACGTTGAAAGATACATCTTATCTTATATGAAATCTGTAGACATAGAGAAAGATCTACCATTATAATGAGTTATTACCTGGATTGTGAAGCAACCCAGTGCATTTTTAAAATATTAATTCAAGTGGCATTTAGTGAGCTTCTCCTTTGCACAAGGCCCAGAGGGAGGCATTATGGTGTATGCAAAGATTACTAATACCTTGCTCGTGTCTCTATTATAGGGTTCATTGTACTGTTGCAAATACGTTTTGTGTTCTTACCAGACAGTGGCTGCGATGGGGGAATCAGACCATAACTGATACTTCTTTGTTTCTGTGGTTCCTGGCCAGTGGCATGATGAAGGGCATATATTTTATTTTTATCTGCCCACAATCTTGTTATTGTTGTCAAGATTAGGAGAGACATATCAGAAGTCAAACAGAGCAAACACAGAAGTCTTTCTCTGAGTTATAGAGACCTTTAAATTAAATGTTCTATGACGGGATAAACAAATAACTCCAGCATATATTCCAACTTTTCTTGTCCTGTTTTACTTGTGTTGAATAAAGAAGCAAAAACGTTCTTATTATGAACTACATTTTATGTAACACTTGTACATAGTAAGACTAAAAATATCAGTCTTTCAATTTATATTAATGGGCCTCATTAATTTTGTACATCATTTAGAAAAGATATATTTCCAAATTGCGTGGGAAAAGTGCTGGTGTGCACAAGCAATAGCATGAACCTGACCCTTCTCCCCCACAATATGATAGAAAACAAACAAGGACCATAGCAGAAAATGTAAGTTTGCATATAAACATAGACACACAGAAAAACACACACAGACAGACACACACACACACACACACACACAAGCATAATTGTTTTTACTAAGATGATAGGAAATATGTAAGATTCATGGTTAAATTGTGTTTGTGTATAAACACACACAGGCACACACAATATTTTTCTTTTCTCAAAGAGGAAAGTGACCATGCTATCAAGATATTATTTTTGAACTGTTTGTTTTCACTGACAGTGAAAGTGTTCACTGACAGATTTTGCTTAAAGACATCTCAATTAACTTTGAAATCTGTGAACCTGGTGACCATGTTGGTTAAGATGCTAATGCTAGATGACAAGTTAGTGGGTGCAGCGCACCAGCGTGGCACATGTATACATATGTAACTAACCTGCACAATGTGCACATGTACCCTAAAACTTAAAGTATAATAATAAAAGAAAAAAAAAAGAAACAGAAAAATGTGGCATAAAGATACTGGCTTATGTACCTTTCAATTGTTGGGTTATTCAGGGATTTAAGCACAGCTTGATTCATGGTCCAAATGGTAGCATCAAGTCTCAAGTCAGGTCCAACCTTGGGTTGCCTTCCTTTCCATTGTCTTCTCTTTTTCAGCCACATAGTTGCTAGAAGGAAGCAAAAACCCTTACATATTCAGAGGTTCAAGTCCATATGACTTGAACATGTTTGGCTTTTTTCCAGAAAGCCCAACATTTATTGATTCCATTGGTTTTATTTGGACATCAGCTCATTCCTTACCTTTAAGAAAAATAACGTTTCCAGCCTAGCTACACAGAAAGCTGAGATGGGAGGATTGCTTGAGCCTAGAGATGGAGGCTGCAGTAAGCCATGATCGTGCCACTGCACTCAAGCCTCGTTGCCACAGTGAGATCCTGCCTCGGAAAAAGAAAAAAAAAAAAAAAGTAAAAGAAATAAAATAAAAAATTTCTAATTGGTCACATTCTGGTTTCATCTCTAGAATTCTGTTGCCTGATTTGAGCCCAAGTTCCCTTGATTATTGTAACTATATTGTCTTGATCAAGCTACTTCATCTTTTTTGCTTCCAATTTGCATATATAAAGGGTAAATAGTAATATATAACTCGTATTTTCAAATAACGTTTGTGTGCCTGGTTTACAGAAATTGCTAGCACACCCTATGTAGGGATGTCTTCAGTAAATTTCCACCATCATTATTATCACTGGTGAGCTCTAACTCATACAAATTCCATGAATTAAGAGTAGAGGATGAACAGACCTCCAAAAGGAAATTGAGTTTTTTTTAAAAGGCGAATAATAGGCCACACCAAAACATATATGTATAGCAGTAAATAGAACTTTATGTGGTTATACTTTATAAAAATGTGTATTACAGCTCCTTTTTTTCAAAATAAAGCCAAAAATAATAAAATAAAAGTATATAAAAATGTACACACAACAAACAGATTTATGGTCATTCTACTTTGCTACTTCTAGTTGCTATTGGGGCAAAGGCTCTTTTACCATTGCACTACGTGGAAATCACTATTCTATTATATTGGGTAACATTTTTTTTGTCAGGAAAATAGTTGCAAGTGGTTAATGGACTTTCTTCATCCAATAAGAAGACTCTAAAGGTAATATTATTAGTTCTTTGGAGCTTGTAATTGGTATATGATGATTGACAAATCTCAAAAATTAAGTCAGTTGAATCCCAGAAAATATTTGCTTGACTAAATCCAAAACTTTTCATGATCTAGTATCAATTTATTACACAGGAATTTATTAATAAAGATAATGATGGACAGTATTTATGAAGAAAATATTTGACTATACTGGGGTAACCTAGTGACAATTCTACTTTCACTAGGGGAAATAATTCGATGGTAAAAGGGCTCTCTGTTATGCTCCTCACCACTCTCTAAACACAAAGATGATTCAAAATTTACTTTGGTCCCAGAATATTTGACATAAGTGTCTTCAAGATTGTGGTGTTTCCACGGTGGTGCCTGAATGTTCTGTACTGTTGTGAAAAGTAATAGTGTTGAAATGCCCTTGCTTTCTACTTCCATAGATCCTGTACTTTCTCGGTTATAGTTGTTATCACATGGTGTACACATTGTCTGTTTACTTCTTGTCTGAACTATCATATTTGAAGCTGTGAAGTGTAAGATAAATGTGCATCTTCCACAACTTTGATCAATGGTAACTAACATGATTGAAGAAACCAAGTAAGTATTCAAGATTAAACGTGAATAAATTATTGGGTAAATGGACATATTAATTTAAATCTTGAGATATTTTAATTTGTATAGACTTGATGCTGGAGAAAATCTTTTAGGGCACCCAGTTCAGCTAATCTCTAAAGAAGAAATGGTATCTTTCTCATTTCCTTTAGTCAGTGAACCACACTACTTAGTCACGGGCACCAAATTAAACTACTGTGGGACAATTCTTACTATTTCATCCTTCTCTTTTTTCCTTTTCTTTTAGAGTGATCCAAATTCTTCCTCCTTTTAAATGTACTTTCCTTGGGAGCAGGATAAATAGTCCCCAGTGTCTCTTTCCTGTTAAATTCTGTTAAATTTCAGGTATTTGTAATGGTGACATGGATACCTTATTTTTATTTATTTATTTATTTATTTTTATTTTATTATTTTTTTTTTTGAGACAGAGTCTCATTATGTCAACCAGGCTGGAGTACAGAGGTGTAATTTCAGCTCACTGCAACGTCTACCTCCTGGGGCTCCTGGGTTCAAGCGATTTTCCTGCCTCAGCCTCCCAAGCAGCTGGGATTACAGGTGCACACCACCATGCTTGAGTGGTTTCTGTATTTTTAGTAGAGATGGTGTTTCACCATGTTGGCCAGGCTGGTCTTAAACTCCTGACCTCAAGTTATCCACCCGCCTCAACCTCCCAAAATGTTGGGATTACAGGTGTGAGCCACCATGCCCGGCCAAGACTTTATCTTCATACCCTGAACAGCTCAAATTTCTTCAACTTTAATACCTCTGATATTGTCTCAAGGTCAATTGTTATAATCATTCAATGAAATTTTATTGGGTATCTGTAAAACATCTCAAAATCAAACTGAGTAATCATCCTGCTTATCCTCCTTTATTTTTGTTCTAATTAAAGTAAGAAGCTAAAACTATTAAATTTTACTACAGAATTTATTGTCTTGAGGTAAGTAGCAAAAGAGAACTCTACTATGGGATAAAATGTCATATTTAGGCTGGGCACGGTAGCTTATGCCTGTAATACCAGCACTTTGGCAGGCCGAGGAGGTTGGATCACCAGGTCAGGAGTTCAAGATCAGAAATTAGCCGGGCGTGGTGGCGGGCACCTGTAATCCCAGCTACTCAGGAGGCTGAGGCAGGAGAATCGCTTGAACCTGGGCAGCAGAGGTTGCAGTGAGCCGAGATCACGCTACTGCACTCCAGCCTGGGCGACAGAGTGAGACTCTGTCTCAAAATAAAAAAAATTTAAAAATTTTAAAAAGACATATTTTTAGTGAGAAAACTATTTATATAGTATTATTATCCTAAAATAGATGCTTCTTGAATATTAAGTTTTTCTTATTCCTGTGGAGAAGCTGTGTATTTCTATGGTGGAGAATAATGTTTGGTTATTATTTAAACCACTACACACACACACACACACGCATGCACACACACACACACACAGACACACACAGTGGTTCTAATGATTTGAATATGATGAGACTATTTTAGAGAATGACCAGATAGATTTGAGCAGCTTACCTGGAAATACAATCTTTTTCCATCTCTCTCTAGCCCTTTTGATACATTTGTTTTGACCACAATTTCATTCTGAGAAATGAAGGTTTAGCTTTTCCTTTCAAAGGACATTAAAAGAAGTGTTTCAACTTAAATTCCCCAAGAATTATCTAGGTCACATTCACAGCCTTTAACTGGCATGATGAAAACCTTTCTTTTTCCCTCAGACGACAAAGGCTATGAAAGTGTGTAGGAAGATGGATAGGGAATTATGGCTTCTCAGTCTTATTCTCACATTTTCTTCAGTCCCAGGGGTGATTTTTCAGCTTTTCAGATTCACAAACTTAATTTCACTGGTTTACAATGTGAGAAGTCTCTAGCCTTGGTGAATTGATTCATGCTATTTTAAAACACAAGAGACTGCTACGGAAACCACAATGTTAAGACTTTAATTTATATTTTTAGAAGTACCTAAGGAAGGAAGCATTAGTGCCTGCTCATCAAAACCATCTGCCCTCAGGAGATAAAAATCATAGGTATCTATAGTTATATTGTTCCTCAAACAAACACTGAACATGGTTATTTAACTTGGAGTCCATTGCTGACGCACACTGACTTTTACAGGAGACTCTGAATTCAGTGGCATCACCACTTTGTATGGAGCCACAACACAAAACTCCCCATTGAATAATTTGACAATTGCCCAGTTAAATAGAAACTCAATGAGAATATCAGCCCCTAGTTTATGGAATACCTCACCTTATTCAATATTGATGGCAGTGGTGGCCATCTGTGAAGACACCGGCTGCTGCAGGGGAGGCACAGCCAAGTATGTGCCCTCCATGGAGCAGGTGGGAGCTTGGAACAGGAGGGAGCCCCGTTCCCTTCCGAGTTGGCAGGGTGGGAGACCCACCCTCCCAGGCACAGCTGCAGGCGCCCAGTCGCGGTTGTGGACCCAGGCATTCCTGTGCTCTCGGGGGCCCAGGAAGCCCCCTGCCCTAGCAAGCTTGGAAGTGCCTGCTCCCTCTGCTTGATCTCTCTCTGCTCCCAGTGCCTGCTCTGATTTCAGAGCAAAGTTGAGGCTGAGACCCCACTGTTGCAACCTGCCCAGGTGTGCACATGCTTGGGAAGGCACTGACATGGCAGCCCCCTGCCTCCGCAGCCCCCTCCAGATTTTGGGTGCCAACAGCATGGGTGGGAGGCCGCGGTGAGGCTGAGAGTGGCTTGGCGCAGGCCTGCAGGCGTCCCTTGGATCAAACAGCTTGGGCGCTGTGGGCATGATTGATGGTGGCAGGAGGCAGAGAGGCTCCCGGGCAGAAAGGGGTGGGTACCTAGTGAAGCCCCAACTTCAAGCCAGGGACAGCCTGAAGCCTGGGGGCTGGGCTGTCAGTTGGGGTGGAGTCCATGGCTTGGAGTGAGAACTTATAGGTGCTTTTTCCAGGCCCGCCCATGGCCACCCATGGACCAATCAACACGCACTTCCTGTCTTCTGAAGTCCATAAAACTCCAGACTCACCCAAACTCACAGACATCTGGGCTGCTAGCTGCATGAAGGAGCTACCCGCTGTGGGTCTCCTCTTTGCTGACAGCTGGACACTTGACAGAATGACCTGCCTGAACTCGGGACCTGCAGAATGATGGGACTGAAGAAGCTGTAACACAAACAGGGCTAAAACACGCACTCTCCTCCCCCTGCTCCCCACCGCCCCACCCACTTGCCACATTGGAGGTGATGAGAAGGAGAGAAGAGCTGTGGCCTTTCAGGGAGCATAGTCCCAGGGGCTCCCTGAGCCAGGGCTGTGAAACCCTCTTCCGGGCACTGCAGTTCCTGGCATCTCCAAACTTCTGAGTGCCACCGCATTCCCCGCGTCCGGATGCAGGTAAGAGGTGACAACGTGCTCGCAGCCCTCGATCGCTCTCGGCGCCTCCTTGGCCTCGGCGTCCGCTCTGGCCGCGCTCAAGGTGCCCTTCAGCCCGCCGCTGCGCTGTGGGGGCACCTCTCTGGGGCTGGCCAAGACCGGAGCCGGCTCCCTCTGCTCGCGGGGAGGTGTGGAGAGGGAGGCGCGGGCGGGAGGCGGGGCTGCGCGCGGCGCTCGCGGGCCGGCACGGGTTCCGGGTGGGCGCAGGCTGGGCGGGCCCCGCACTCCGCCAGCTGGCTGGCCCCAGCTGGGCTTGTTGTGGCGGGGTAGGGGGGTGGCGAGCTCCCTCTGGGCTGCGGGAGTGCCCGGGCTAGGTGCTGCAAAGTCCCGCGGTGAGTGCCACTGGGAGGTGAAGCCGGCTGGGCTTCTGGGTCCGGTGGGGACTTGGAGATTTTCTGTCTAGCTAAAGGATTGTAAACGTACCAATCAGCACTCTGTGTCTAGCTAAAGGTTTGTAAGCACACCAATCAGCGCTTTGTGTCTAGCTAATCTGATGGGGACTTGGAGAACTTTTCTGTCTAGCTAAAGGTTTGTAAACGCAGCAATCAGCAATCTGTCAAAACGGACCAATGAGCTCTGGGTAAAGTGGACCAAGCAGCTCTCTGTAAAATGGGCCAATCAGTAGGATGTGGCTGGGGCTAGTTAAGGGAATTAAAGCAGGCCACGGGAGCCAACAGCTGCAATGCGCTCCGGTTCCCTTCCACGCTATGGAAGCCTTGTTCTTTTGCTCCTTGCGATAAATCTTGCTGCTGCTCACTCTTTGGGTCTGCGCCGTCTTTATGAGCTGTAACACTCACGGGGGAAGGTCTGCAGCTTCACTCCTGAAGCCGGCGAGACCACGAACCCACCAAAAGGAGGAAACTCTGGACACATCTGAACATCTGAAGGAACAAACTCCAGACACACCATCTTTAAGAACTGTAACACCGTGAGGGTCTGCAGCTTCATTCTTGAAGTCAGCAAGACCAAAAACCCACCAATTCCGGGCACTCAGGTACCTCCAGCAGAAGCTGCATGTAGTACATCTGCTCTAGCCACAGCCTCCATGGAGCTGGCCACTGTGCCAGTGCCTGGAGCCACCCAGCTGCCACAGCAGCCAGTGTGCCTGGCTGTGTGCAGTGGCCGAATCCCACGCTTACTCGCCCACACACCCCTTGCCACTCTGCCTGCACCTGACTAGCCCTTGGCAGTTGTGGGATCTGGGCTGGTAGCACGAGCCAAGCACAGCCTGCTGGACCAAGTGGGTGGAACGAGGTCAGTGGGCACAAGCAATACTCAGGCAGAAGACACTGCCAGCCACAAAGGTTTCCAGCTAGCGAAGCAACACCTCAAGGATCCCGTGACAATATCACTGTGCCGTGACTCCTCAGAATTATCTCTGTTTAACTTACTAGATAAATCTAACCAGGATACATTAAAAACTGTACATTTATTCTGGCATTCAGTGAGGGCTAGAAATGATATTGTGATCATAGGTTTTTATATCCTGGTTGAAGCCATAGGTACTTGATGGAGCTTTGGTCTTAGACTTCCTCTTGGTTAACTATAATGGCTTAAAAGAAAGAATGAAACTATGTTCTTTGCTGCAACATGGATGCAGCTGGAGGCCATTATCCTAAGCAAACTTAATGCAGATACAGTAAACAAAACACCGAGTGTTCTCACTTATTAGCGGGAATATACATTGGGTGTACATGGAGATAAAAATGGGAATAATAGACACTGGGAACTACAAAAGAAGGGAGGAAAGGAGGTGGGCAAGGGTTGAAAAACTACTCATGGGATACTGTGCTTACTATCTGGGAAACATGTTTAATTGTACCCAAAACCTCAGCATCATGCAATATACCCTTGTCACAAACCTGCACATGTACCCCTTGAATCGAAAATAAAAGTTGAGGCCGGGCGCGGTGGCTCACGCCTGTAATCCCAGCACTTTGGGAGGCTGAGGCTGGTGGATCACGAGGTCAGGAGATTGAGACCATCCTGGCTAACATGGTGAAACCCCATCTCCACTAAAAGATACAGAAATTAGCCAGGCATGGTGGTGGGTGCCTGTAGTCCCACCTATTCGGGAGGCTGAGGCATGAGAATCGCTTGAACCCAGGAGGCAGAGGTTGCAGTGAGCTGAGATCACGCCACCGCACTCCAGCCTGGCAACAGAGCGAGACGTCTCAACAAAAAAAGAAAAAAAAGAAAAAAGGAAAAAGGTGAAATAAAGGCAACTGTAATAGCTTACTAAAGCATTTCTATAGCAGGCAGGCATATATATTTTTGTTATACAACAAGCAGTATAAATTCTATATCCCCTAAACTTGAATTCAAGACCTTTTTCTCAAAACTAGCTTTATAAGTTGTAGCTCATATCTCAGTGAATGGAAACTTCATGTACAAGATACACCATGTTGTTATAACCCAACGTACTTTTAAGGTTGGAGTACATAATAAAAATACATTTCTTTAATAAAATAGCAATGACTTTGTATTCCTACAACTCATATTGGCATGAGACCCAGTCTTTCTTGGAGACTTGCTCACCAAATATTCCATGGGTCCTACGAATAAACACTTCCCAGAAAGTCTATGGGTGAAAATAATTATTTCCATCAGCTTAAGAAAAAAACATAAAGCCATCTGCTTCCAGCCACACAAGAGTATAACTGTTACAAGACTTTTCTTCATACTGAAAGAAGCTATACAGCCAGAAAAAATATGTAAATTCTCTATGTTCAGACAATGAGCAACAAGTAGCACATGCTTGTAAAATTTTAGAGCAAGCAGATTAGGTGAGTCCAACATATTTCCTGGCTTTCTGCTGTAGGCCTGTAACATGCTTCAGATCAAGGAGATAAAGGCTAGACAGAGCATGTGGAACCAGAAGAGACAGATCAGTGCTCTGAGGTACTGAAGTAGCTACAATGTTGGAGTAAGTTACCAGAGAATAGGGAACTGGAAAGAGAAAGGATACAATTCTGCATGAGCATTTATTATAGATCCTAGGCTGAGGGGTGTGTTGTTTTTGCATAGGCTGAGTCACACGGAGGACTGGCAGAAATGTTAATAAAGAGCTGAGAACTGAATAGAAATAGCAGAGTTTATGTAGGCCTCCAGACATAGAAATTCTGGTCCAGTCAAGGTTAAGAGACCTTATTGAATATCTTAGGCATTTCACTGAAACTCATGAAAGACCAAGCAGGTAAGAATCGCATACTACTTGGTCGGGCACGGTGGCTCACGCCTGTAATCCCAGCACTTTGAGAGGCCGAGGCGGGCGGATCACGAGGTCAGGAAATCGAGACCATCCTGGCTAACACGGTGAAACCCTGTCTCTACTAAAAATACAAAAAAATTAGCCTGTTGTGGTGGCAGGTGCCTGTAGTCCCAGCTACTCGGGAGGCTGAGGCAGGAGAATGGCGTGAACCTGGGAGGCGGAGCTTGCAGTGAGCCGAGATCTCGCCACTGCACTCCAGCCTGGGCGACAGAGCGAGACTCCGTCTCAAAAAAAAAAAAAAAAAAAAAAAAAAAAAAAAAAAAAAAATCACTCACTACAGTTAGAGTCACGTTTTAGAAGCTAGGCCAAAAGATAAAGAGAACTAATAAAAAATAGAACTAAGACTGAATGCTGACCAGGAGATAACAGTCAGTTACCAACAGAATACAATCAACATCCTTTAAGGGAAGATGGCCTCTGGTATTCCCCACAACTTATTACTCCCAGAGTCCAGCAAGTAACAATGAAGTAAAATATAAACCAAGGTTAAATAGGAAGACATGAGTCATACTAAAAGTAAAGTCAATAAAACAGACCCTGAGATGACTCAGATGTTTAAATTAATGGAAAAGAACTTTAACACAGCTATTATAATAGAACTGAAATAAAAACACTTGTGATATATAAAAAATGGAAAATAACAGCCAGGAAATAATAAATATAGAAACATACTAAAAAGTGCAGTATAATTCCAGAAGAGTAATGAGATGTTCTATAGACCGACTCATTAGTGAAACTCATAAAAATTATACAGAAAGAAGCACTTGAAGTCTCTGGAAATGGGCCTAATATCATACAACAAATGAAGAAACATTTATTCAAGAGTGTCTACTAAAACACAAGGAGAAGAGAGTGTGTAGCATTTGAACCAGTCGTTTCTTCCTTATCCTCTCCCAGCTCCCAGTGTGACAGAAACTCCATTCTAGATGAGTGCAGTCAAGAACACAGGAGTTTTACTAACTCTAATTGCCTGTGTAGGTCTACAGTCTCTTCCAATAAATGGTAGGACATCATTAGATACGTTAAAAATACTGAGTTTCAGATGAGTGTGCCCAGGAAGGAGATGTATTATTTTTTCACACAACCTCCACTCATAAGATGGAGAGTCTACCTTGGGCATGGTTCACCATGAATACTGGAATTCTGGTTATTCTTGACCCGGATCTTTAGTAAGGTGGAATGCCCCATGCTGGAAGAGGTAAGATGAAAAGACTAGAGGCTACTGACTTCCCTCTGTCAAATAACCCGTTTCTAATTCAGAGGTGTCATGCTGAAAGAAGTGGGCCATTGTGTCTGTTTCCAACTACAAAGTAGTGATTCAGGGATTTTGCCCAGATGGAGAGACAGGTTACAAAAAGGAGTGCTACGAAACTTCCCCCAAAGAACTGACTTTGCATCAGAATGTGGGGAAGTTAAGCTCAGTGGTTCTTTCAAAAACAATGGAGATTATGGTGAAAAGTAATTAAGAGAAGACTGGTACCTTCATTACAGATGAACTTGCAAACTAACTTGCAGGCTAACTAGTCTATCAGAGAAAACCAGGAAAATAGACTGGTAAAAATAGCCTCCTGAGATCAGAACATATATTGAGTACTAACCTCAAAATGTATCCTGCAGGGGTCCAAATTGAATTGGACAAGCCTGTATAGAATGCATTCCCCTAGACATTGTTGCAAACAAAAGAGCAAACAGCAGGCAATTAGTGGAGCTTATCTGCTACATCATGAGGGGAAGACAGAGAAAAAGAATGCTGAGGAAGCCACTGCCATCTGAGGGTGACTATAATTGTGTTCAAGACTCCACCCTCTGTGGAGCAACATCAGAAGCATTGTACTTAGGGGAAAGAGTAATGACTACAGTAACAAAAGGAGTCACTAAACAAATATACAAGCAAGAAAACATAAGTCTTGGAGGGCTCGGTGTAAGTAGAATTCAAAGTTGCTACAATATATCATAGAAAACATCCTGTTTACAACCAAAAATTGGGAGTCAGGCAAAGGAGAAAGGAAGCCTGGCTAGTACTCAAGACAAAGTATAGGCATTAAAAACTGCCCGTGAGAGCAACTCTGGGTCAGATAGACAGTGACTTCAAAGTAGCCATTATAAAAATGTTCAAAGAACTGAAGAAAACTATATTTGAAGAAGTAAAGGAAGTATATTGGTAATCTCATCAAATAGAGAATATCAATAAAGTAATAGAAATTATAAAAATAGAAGCAAATAAAAATGAGGGGGTTGTAAAACACAATAACTGTTATGAAAAGTTCACTAGAAGTGTTCAGCAATAGACTTGAACTACAAGAAGAAAGAGCAAACATGGAGATAGATTAATAGATATTATGCAGTCCAAATAACAGAGTAAAATAATGCAAAGTAAATGAAGAAAACCTCAGAGAAATGGGACACCATTAAATGAACCTACAGATATGTAACAGGAATGACAGAAAGGAGAGACATGAAGGAGCAGAACACTGTATTTGCAGAAATAATGGCTGAAAATTTTCTAAATTTGATAAAAACCCACCTATACAAATAAAAACTTCACATAGGATAAATACAGACAATTCACCACAGACACATCATAATAAAAGTATTGAAAGCCAGATAGAAAAGAAAATCTTGAAAGCAGAAAGATAAAAATGGCTCATTACTTACAAGGAAATCTCAATGACAGCTATGTTCTCATCAGAAGCAAAGGATGTTAGACGGCAGTAAAGATATTCAACATTTTCAAAAGAATAGTACTGCCAACCATGTCCCAATAAAGTCATCTTTCAAACATGATGTTGAAATAGACATTCCAAAATGTAAACAGAAGTGAGAATTTGTTGTTAGAAGACAAATATGTTAGAGAATTTATGTATTTTTCTGGCTGTATCTTGTAAGAAATTGTAAAGGAAGTTCTTCAGGGTAAAAGCAAACGACCCCAGAGCATAATTAAAATTCACACGGAAAACAACACTGGTAAAGATAATTATGTATATATAAAAGGCTTTATTAATATATATTTATTTTACTTTCTTCTCCTAACTGACTTAAGAACCAACTGTACCAAATAATATACATTTGTATTTTGGAGGTTTTTAACATATAAAAATGTAGTATATTTGAGGATAACAGCACAAATAAAGTGAGTAGAAGAAAAAATGGATTGTGGTAAGAATTTGAAACTAGTAAGAACCATATGGATTTTAAAATAGTTTTTCTAGTTCTGTGAAAAATAGTCAAAACAATCCTAAGCAAAATGAACAAAACTAGAAACATCATGCTACCTGACTTCAAACTATACTACAGTACTACAGTAACCAAAACAGCATGGTACTGGTACAAGAACAGTCACATAGACAAATGGAACAGAATAGAGAACCCAGAAATAAGACTGCACCCCTACAACCATCTTATTTTTGACAAATCTGACAACAACAAACAACAGGGAAAGGATTCCTTATTTAGTAAATGTTTTTGGGCAAACTGGCTAGCCATATGCAGAAAAATGAAACTGGACCCCTTCTTTACACTGTATACAAAAATCAACACAAGATGGATTAAAGACTTAAATGTAAAACCCAAAACTGTAAAAATCCTAGAAAAAAAAACCTAGGTAATACCATTTAGGACATAGGCACAGGCAAATATTTCATGATGAAAGCACCAAAAGCAATAGCAACAAAAGCAAAAATTGACAAATGGAACCTAATTAAAGAGCTTCTGCACAGCAAAAGAAACTATCAACAGAGTGAACAGACAACCTACAGAATGGGAGAAAATTTTTTCAATCTATGCATCTGACAAAATCCTAATATCCAGCATATATAAGGAACTTACACAAGTTTACAAGAAAGAAAGAAACAGCTTCATTAAAAAGTAGGCAAAGTACATGAACTGACACTTCTGTAAAGAAGACGCACATATGGCCCACTATACATATAAAAACTCCACATAGGAGAAATACAGAAAATTCACCACAGACACATCATAATAAAATTATTGAAAGCCAGATAGAAAGGGAACATCTTGAAAGCAGAAAGATAGAAATGGCTCATTACTTACAAGGAAATCTCAATGACAGCTATATTCTCATCAGAAGCAAAGGATGGTTCTCTATTCTGTTCCATTGGTCTATGTGTCTGTTCTTGTACCAGTACCATGCTATTTTGGTTACTGTAAACACTATTTTAGTGAATATGCGGAAATATAAAAACTCTCATACATTGTTGTTTGCATACAAAAAGGTACCATTGTTTCACAAAACAGTCTTCCAGTTACTCAAAAAATTAAACATAGAGTTGTTTGATCCAGAAATTCCACTTCTGGGTATATATCAAATAAAAATGAAAGCAGGCCAGTTGTGGTGACTCACGCCTTTAATAACAACACTTTGGGAGGCTGAGGTTGGGGGATTGCTTGAGTTCAGGACTAACCCGGGCAACATGGCAAAACCCCGTCTCTATAAAAAAATAAAAAATTAGCTGGGCCTGGTGGTGCTTGCCTTTAGTCCCAGCTACTAGGGAGGCTGAGGTAGCAGGATCCCTTGAACTTGGGAGGTGGAGGTTGCAGTGAGCTGTGATTGTGCCACTGCAGTCCAGCCTGGGGATACAATGAGACCTGTCTCTAAAACAATTAATGAATAAAAATGAAAGCATACATACAAACAAAAACTTGTACACAAATGTTTATAGCTGCATTATTCATAATAGCCAAAAAGTGCATAGAACCCAAATATCTGCCAGTTGATCAGTGGATAAATATGTGGTGTTTCAACATGATGTAACATTCAACAATAAACTGAAACAAAGTACTTACATAAGTTATGGCATGGGTGAACCTTGAAAACAGTATGTTATGTTAAAGGAGACAATCACAATAAGCCACATAATCACACATTATGTGATTTTATTCATGTGAAATGTTCAGAATAGTAAAGTCGATATATAGAGAAAGTAGATTTAAGGCTGCCTGAACCTGGGTGAGGAGGGAGAGAGATTGTGTGTGAGTAGGTCGTCAGGGGGCTGTTCCCATAAAAAGTACAGGAACTACTTCAGGGTGATGAAAACGTTCTAAAATTATATATCAATAAATCTGCTACAAAAAAAATAATCCAACACAGCGCTACGCAGTGGGGATGCTGGTCACGTAAGGACACAGTTAAAATAGGCATGCTGATCATGATGACATAAACAAAGCCAAACAAACAAAACCTGCCTTCTCAAAAGCCAAGGAGAGACCTTGCTTTTGTTTTTGTTTGTTTGTTTTCTTCTTTTTCTCATTGCAGAGCTGAAATCACTAAAACTCAGTGTGGATAACTGTCTTGCTATTGGAGACCCACATATCTTGAGCTCCAAAACACTTCATATCAATAGTAAAGCATTTTCAAAAAGTTAGCATGGTTCCCATTTTGAGTTAAGAATTTTACATATAAAAATTTATTTGGTCCTCACAACAATGCTAAAACATAGGCATTGGTATTAGCACCATTTTAGAGATGAGAAAAATGAGGCTTAGAGAGATTAAGCAACCAAATCAATGTCTGATAATCATTAATAACCAGAGGCCTGGTTCTAAATCTGTTTTTTTTCTTTTCTCTCTAAGCTAATTTCTTCTCTTCTGGAGCTTGCTAGTTTCAAATATTGTAACTCAGGAAAAATACTAATCTGTTATAAAATTTGATTTGATAAAATATAATTCAATATGAGAAACATTAATATGCTTGGTAATTTGGGAGAAAAACATTGAAAGCTACTTGGATACGTTGACATCCAAGCAGGGCCTTAACAATATTCAAAATTAGACCCACAGACACAGAGAAAAAGACCATTAGTGCATATATAGATTGTCTTCAATCTATATATGAAAATATTTATGTATATTTAAAACATGCCATGATCTCGTCTTACTGCAGTTTTTAAATAATTAACATTTTATATTAATTCCACTTTCATTTAATCAGCTTTTCATTGATAATTTAAAAACCCTTATACTTTTAGAAAAATCCAAAATATATCTACTAATGCAAGTTCATTGAGTTGTAATATGGAGGCAAAAAAAAAAAAAAGGAAAGGCACTGACACTTCTGTCTAATGGACAGAGATGTAAATGAGCAGTGGTAGATCAAAGGAAAAAAATAAGCACCTGAATTTGAACACTGCCAGCCTGGATAAGAATGAGAGAGTCCATCTGTCTGAGATGGTAGAAATGTGTGACCCCTGGAAGAGATGGAGAGGGATCCTTTAAACATGAGAAATAAAAATGTCACCAAATTTTTGAGGAAATATTACTTCCCAAGAGGAGAGTAATGAAGCAAAAGCAAAGCTCCAACTGCCAATAGCTGAATTATTAAA
Organism: Homo sapiens; assembly: GCF_000001405.40. NCBI lineage: Eukaryota > Metazoa > Chordata > Mammalia > Primates > Hominidae > Homo > Homo sapiens. Next base: position 63,608,044 of record NC_000016.10, on the reverse strand, counting down.
GGAAGAAAAGTAGAATCTGTGGACAGGTGCAAACTTGTCCAAGAATTGAAGAAGCTTAATCCAACTCTTCAAGAGAATCACAAGGAGCTTCATTTGACTTTTGTCTGGATACCTTAATGGTTCATTTGCTTTAAGATTGTAACATTTTTAAGAGTTCAGTTCTTTTTTTCATGCGTCTCTATTGATTCTCTCCCAAAGAGGAATAGTCACAAATCCATGTCAAGATAGGAAAAATGGGAAAATAAAGTGTCTAGTGTTACACCAGGGCACTCATCTTATAGGTGCTCCCAGTTAGCTACCTCAAATACAAGTATACCTTTGAAAAATTTTCCTAGTAGGTGGAAGAGGATTAAAACTTGCACTTTGGGTCAATAGAACAAGGTTTCATCCTGGCGCTGCAAAAATATTTCATATATGATCTTGGACAAGTTAATCTAAAATCTTTAATGTGGATTTTTTATTTGGAAGTGCCTTTTGATTAGGGTGTATTGTGAAGATTAAATGGAATAAAATATAGAGAGTACAGCTGTTTTTCTCTTTTTCTTTCTCTGAAATGTCTACTCTGCTCTGGTTCTGCCTCTCGGAACTCTCCCCAGAGGGGCAGCTTGAATTCTCTATATCATTTTCCTAGGCTACAGAAGAAACAGTTTAAGGCTAAGGAAGAAGTCAAATTCATGAATTATAGTTTGTTGGCCTATGTATAAAAATAAACAATTTGTTCAACTGTGAACATACAATCAGAGGCACTCAGAAGCTTTATTTATTTTCTTTAATAGTGGTAAACATGTACAATTTACACTATCATTAATCATCTAGATGCAGGAATTCAGAAATGCTGTCTATAATGGACAGCAATCAGTTGTCCTAATTCAAGGATCTAAAATAAATTTAATGCATGAACACATTTATTTCTGCAGTTGAGGAATTCATTAGCTTTTTCAATGAGTCTCTTACATCTGGGAATAGCACAGATTACATAGAAATGCACATATATATTTTTGCATATGTAAGTATGTGCATTAAATATTTTATAAGGTGTTACTGTAGTAACTGTCTTTAATTGACTATGCTGTAACCTTATTTGATATTTATAACAATATATTTATGCATACAGTAGAGTACGTATGTGTATGCATACACATGCATAATTTATATTATTTCACTTATGAATTAAAGAAGAGTTTTATAATTACTGTGGAGCATCCTGTGATGCACTGCACAGATTGCCCTTCAGGAACTAGAGGCTCATTTTTCCATCTGAGGGAGTGCTTCCAAGATGACCCTTAGCTGTCAGTTGTCAGCCCCCTCCGTGGATTGTCTCAGATGTAGAAAACAACATCATTCAGGGGTCGTGTCTCTTTCCTGGGCACCATGGGAGTCCAAAGACTTAGTCCGCAAATCTGAACAGGCATCCAGCTTTCCATCTGGCCAACACCTCCCTTTCTCAGATGCTTATCCTAAGAATTCTCCCTGCGAAAATATCCTGCCTGGTTATCTCTATCTCAGAATCTTTCCTCCAGAGAATAATACTCGAAACAAAGACCCAGAAGGAAGGGTCAGCTGAAATGGCGTAAATATAGACAGTTAAACAAAGGCAACAAAAACAAAAACAAAATATGATCATTGCTTTTTTTGAGGATAAAGAGGAATGGAAAGGGCTATAATAAAACATAGTGAGGGTATCTTCCCTAATAGAGGGATGATGCCCACTTTACATAGAACACATTAGTTAATTGTGCTAGCACTAGAAATTGTTTATTCTGACTATTTGGTTCCGCCTCTACTTAGCTGTGTATCTGTGGGTACGCCGTGTAAGCCTTGGAATACCTATGGTGATCAGGTGAGAGCACTCTTGGCACCTAACCCCATGTCTGACAATAGCAAGAATTAACTAACAGCTAACTAACTAAATAAATAAATAAAAACAAATACATTATAAAAGCTATAATTATTAGATCTTTACAAGTTTATCCACAAAGTAAACTTATATATTCAGTTATTTTTAAGTATCTCAGATGAGCAAATGGATTGATAATGAATCATTTTGAAATTGAGAGGCCTCAAACAAAGGTTCACTTGTACTGAAAAATGCCATTTCTTTCCATTGTTTTCCTACTGATTACCTCTAAGCCAAAATAGACTTTCTTGTTTCAGATAACTTGAAGAAATAAATGATAAACATTTTTTAAACACACAATGAGAAAACATTAAACCAAAACCAGCTATATTTGCAAATATGTTCACCACCCCCAGCTCAAAACAGTAACTTGCATACAAATCACCCCAGATTGAAAATCATAATATAAATGACAATACCACCAATCCTTTAAGTATCATGTAAGCACTAAAGGGAGTTTTATGAAATAACTAATAATACGTGGTGAAAGATTACATCTTGATGTTAGGTGAGAAAATATCAGGATGTATATTTTAAAATATGAAAATTTCTAGAAGAAACCATAACAACTGTGGGTGTGATTTCACCCAAGTTGGAGGGTATGGGTGGTATTATTTACTTCTTTACATTTTTTGAACTTCCAAATTGTTAATAAATGAGCATAGAATCCATTGTCGGAAACATATATATAATTGTCCTTTTTTAATACATTTATTTTAGGTTTGAGGGTACATATGAAGATTTGTTACACGGGTGAAACTGTGTCACAGGGTTTGTTGTACAGATGATTTAATCAGCCAGATATTAAGCCTAGTATCCAATAATTTCCTTTTCTGCTCCTCTCCCTCCTCTCAACCTTCGCCTTCAAGTAGATCCCAGTGTCTGTTGTTCACCTCTTTGTATTTGTGAGGATTTATCATTTAGTTACCACTTATAAGTGAGAACATGCAGTATTTGGTTTTCTGTTCCAGCATTCATTTGCTAAGGATAATAATCTCTAGCTCCATTCGTGTTCCCACAAAAGCCATGATCTCATTCTTTTTATGGCTGCATAGTATTCCATGGTGTATGTGTACCACATTTTCTTTATCCAATCTGTTATTGATGGGCATTTAGGTTGATTCCATGTCTTTGATTTTGTGAATAGTGCTGCAGTGAACATTCACCTGCATGTATCTTTATGGTAGAATGACATATATTCCTCTGGGTATATACCCAGTAGTGAGATTGCTGAGTTGAATGCTATTTCTGCTTTTAGCTCTTTGAGGAATTGCCGTACTGCTTTCCACAATGGTTGAACTAATTTAAACCCTTACCAACAATGTATAAATGTTCTATTTTCTCTGCAACCTTGTCAGCATCTTTTAAAAAAATAATAGCCACTTTGATTTCTAAAGTGAAGAAAAATTAAAAATACAGCTTCTAAATACAGAATTTTAAAAAATGTAGTCAAGGAGGTAAATTTGCTCTAAGCATGTAACTAAACTGGTTGTGGCTGTGAAATGTTAAAGAATGGATGTTAAAGAATGAAGTAAACACTCCCAAAATAACTATGCACTTTTTTGTAATAAAAATCAAAATAGTCATAAAGTCTTGGTTAAAGAGAATGCAATAAGCAGCATCCTAATTTCTTCTAAATTATGCTTAGTTAAATCACTGATTTTGGTATTAAATTAAATCATTTTATAAGAAGCCATATCAGTTCAATATAAATTTTCAAAGACATACAAGTACTAATGTAACAATGCAGGAGATTTCAGAAAAAAATCACTTTAATTCCCTGGGATTTAACTCAGAGTCTTTTTGTCCCTGTGACATATTTTTATTTCAGCATTGTCAGAGAAATCATAGAAACTTGGCTTGATGTTAACATTTTGCTATGAGTAGAAAAAAATGCTTTAATAAATTTTTGGAGGGAGGAGTAGATATATCTAGCTTACATAAAACCGTAAACTTTATTCTAAGACATCCTGTATCGGCAAACAATAAATCACAAAATATTTGTGTTATTTATGATGACAGTATATCAGGAATTTTCCATTCTCAATTGGGAAACTTTGGTACTTCTACTCTCCCTGGTCTAATTTCTTCCAATTTCCCTTATTTCAGAAATGCCTAATATACTGTGGGGTATAACCTTTCCTGACACACATCCAACATATCCATTCCTTATTAATAAACATACAATATTTCTTCAAGTGGAGGGGAGTAAATCTTCCTTTGCTATTTCAGGTGATTTTTGTTTTCCATAATTATGAATAGCCTCATGATTAATAGTGACTTATGTTGATATTTTCATAATGTAAACATAAATCAAGGCATTCGTGAATGGTCAAAATAATTGCAGAAAAAGTATTAATATTTTTAATTCAAAAGAGTCCAATCAACTGGGCTTGGCCTTCCTTCTAGTTTCATATCCCTTGAATTCTGTCCTCAAAATATTTCCAGCATCTTGAAGTCTCAATACCCTACCTCAAATATCTAAAAGTCTGTTTTTCTACCTACTCTTTCTTCTGCCTAAATTGTTCCAAGCTTTATTTCCAGCCACTAAAATTTTTCTTTATTTTCTCAATAAACACAAATGTAATCTCCTGTGTAAAGCCTTTTCTGCATATCCCACTTAGGATTAAATACTTTTATTTTTATTCCATAGAAATTCACATACCTATATGTTAGCATTTGCCAAATTTTACGGTTATTATATGGTTGTGATTAGCAGATTTCTTAGACCCAGTTTCTGCAGATTTGGCTTGGAGGGACCTTGAACTTTGTATTTCTTATGTCACAGTCATATTTCCTTAGGAACTCTAGGGTTAAGATAAATGCAGAATATAGTGGTGCTTCACTTGCTACTTGGTGACACACCTGGTTTTGTAGAGCTGTGTGGTCAGGACAATTTTAAACCTATGTGACTCAAATAGCATAAAAGATTGGTGGAAGCCTGAGGTGGCTTCTTTTCTGTATCAAAGTGACTTGCAGATATCTTGGGTCTTATTTATAGAAGCCATGCATGGCCCATATAGGTGAGGAGATGAAAGAGGCTATGTGCTCACTCTAGAAGCTGTCAGGTCTCTCAATGATGAAGATGCTATACTTGATGCATTTATTGCCCTGCATACTTTCATAAAACTAAGCTAACATAGTGTAAGATGAAAGCTTATTTTTGTTTTATGAATCTGATTGTCTATTGCAAATAAAAACCCATACCATAGCTTTGGTTCTCTAAGTGTATATATATGTATACATGTGTCCCCAAGTAGCAAGTGAGGTTAGGATTGTGGAAGTGGGGATGCAGATGGAAGTGAGGTTGCGTATGGGGATGGGGTGGACAGGAGTGTGTGTGTGTGTATATATATACACACACACATATACATATTTATTATATATTCACATATATATTTATATATACTATATATAATATATGCATATTATGTATATACTCCTGTCCCCACACCATCCCCTCCCCAACCTCACCTCCATCTGCATCCCCACCTTCACAATCCTAACCTCAACCCCATCCTCACCCTATTCCCATCTCCACCCCCTCGTTTCCTCCAACCCCATTCTCACCCCCCATCCCCACCTCCATCCCCATCTTCACACCCACCCTCATCCACTCCCCTACCCTAAACCCTGTCTCCATTACTATCCCCGTTTTCACCCCTGCTCCCCAAGGAATGCCCTAAATGGAAGCATCACCATTTGCTTACATTTCTGTTTTTTAGTAAACTATGTGCTGTGCTGTTTTCTTTAGACAATGTTTTAAATCACTAATCCTAGATGTATCATATATTTGGTTTATAAAATAACTTATTTTTAAAGAGTGCTTTTATAAAAACAGGAAATATGTTGAAAAGATGCTATTATGTTTCCTTTGTTTCTAGTGGTTTTGTTTTGTTTTTCAATGCAATTGTGACCTCTTTTATAAGCTATACACAACCTCTACATCTACTTTGACTCAAACTAACACTGTGGGAAACGTAATTATCCAAAATGACATTCTGTAAACATGCTGTAATGACGTTCTATTATATTAACTTTGTTGCTTCCATTATCTCGATCACTCAAGAGTCCTCCCGAATGCCAAAGGTAAATCTTGTCTCTTACCTTAATGATCCATACACTGAAATTATTGCCTAGATTTTGGCATAATCCTTTGTGAGGTTTGAGGACACAATTAGATAACAGAATCCAGAGACATGTTTTGTGCTCAGCATACAAAAATAGATGATGTAGAAAGGTGAATTTTTTTTAAGTTCATCTTGCTATGTAATTCACACGTTGGCAGATGAATAGGAAGAATATTTAGCCACGGTATTACAGTACCTATTATTAAGAGAGCTGGGGCAATTCTGGCTGAATGCTAGGTAATTAACTATGATTTGGGTTGATTTCTGTAGAATTAAGGCTGGTAAATAGAGAAAATCTTAGAAATTATATAAGACAAAGAGGAAAGATAAATTGTATGCTAGTGAAGATACAAATAAGAATCAGTAGAATGTCAAGTTAGGGCATCATATAGATAAAATGCACCTAATGAAGTAAAAATTAAGCCAGGTTAGGCATAAGTTTAGGGAGAAAATGCTTCCACATTTGGATGAAAACATATGTATGTATAAGTGTATTCAACTTTTATAAATGACCCAAAGCTATTGGAAACTGGAGATAAGTATTAGTCATTAGCTCATTTCATAAAAGAGAGGATTCCTGATTCTGGCAACAAAAATTCATTTGTTTTTCTTTATTCTTTTGGTGTTTACACATTTTGCTAAGAAGCATCTATAGTTTATTTCCAATGCTTAGCAGAGATTGGTCTCAATTTCAGTTCCTAGGGATTTCCAGGCTTTAAAAATTTCACAGAATACTAGCAAGAGAGTCCGTGTATTATTTTTGATGAGGATAAGGGCATATTTAGTTGGGAAATAACAGCAACCCAGTCCCAAAAGCAGTAGAATCATATTTCTAGAGATGATATACAAATGATGATATGGTAGAACCAGACCTGCCCCATGGTAAAAATTAAGAAACAAAACAGTTTTTGATTAAAGCTAAGGTATAAAACATCAACATTTAGAGTGAAATCAACAGAAGTATCAAAGGAATTGTACTATGCTCATTGGAACTCCTCTAGACTCAAAGCTGAAAAAGCAGAAGACAGAAGCAAAATGGATTAAGAGTTCAGAAAAATTACACATTAGACATATTTCTCAGAAACCTTAACATAACTTTTCCTTGACCCTCAAAACAGATAAATGGTTAAGGGGGATGATGGAAAAGTCTGTTATCAAAGTTTTTACATTATATGGATGTCCGTGATTCTCTAGTTTCTAGTTCTAGTTCATGAGTCTTATTTATGTTGAATCTTTCTGTAGCAGAAGAACCTGGTTCATTTAGAATAATGCCAAAGATCTTAGAAACTTTTATCTCTTATTAATAACCACATTTTGAATAAAAAATCCTTAATTCTCTAATTATCTCACTGAGGCATGAATCTCTGGGGACTCTAATTGGACCCAGCATCTTTCCTAATTTAACATCTCCTAGAACATAGTTAACCCAATCTAACTACAGTATGCCCTCTCATTATTTTATCTTTAAACTATTAATACAAAATGGTTAGTATATTAAAATAAATATGTTTATCTTTTTTTTTCTGACCATCCTCATTTTCTTAAGAGAAGAATATTGGGAACAATCACATCACACATTTGTGTTTTTAGCAAACATTTTTCCTGAATTTCTTGAATCACTAATTCCCAGATTTCTACATGTATAAGACTAACTTGATAATGTTGATAAAATGGATAAGTATAACCTCAGATATTCTGAATCCAATATTTTGAACTACAGACTATGATTCTACATTTTATAAAGAAATCTCATGACTCTGATATTGGTGGCCCAGAGACTGTGCCTAGAAAAGCACTTGTTAAAACATAGGCATTGTTTAACCATTTCAAAATTAAGATATGTTATGCACATACTCTGTTTTCAAGGAGCACCCCAGGAAGGAAATAGAAATCCGGGAAGAAAGAAGGCATAAAAGGAACTGTAAGAAGAAAACATATGACAAGAGCGGGGAGAGATAATATAAAATATTGAGTAGAGATAATATAAAATATTGAGTACATTTTATCTTCCATGCACTCTATAGGGCATTTCATATATGTTATAGATTTTAGAAAAATGGAAATGAGTTTTCATTTTTGCCAATGAAGAAACCAAGGTTGAGTTAACTTAATGAATCAGTCAGAGGTCTCATAACTCCTAAGGAGCAGAATATGAATCTCACCCGATGTTAGTGCTTGTAAAATATCAATGGTCTAACCTTGACAGAGCAGCAGATGGGAAAATGTGTACACCTTTAATTATAATGTACATAAGACATAAATAACTCCAAAATACAGATACAACCTACTTACGCGGATTAGAAAGTAGCACAGTGGCTGGGGTAGGGTAGGCATTCAATAAAAGTCATTTTTTGCTTTCTCTGATTGAAGAGGTTAATTGAGGGCTCATTCCATAAGACCAGTGTTGGGCTGGCATAGTGGCTCATGCCTGTAATCTCAACACTTTGGGACACCGAGGCAAAAGGATCACTTGAGCCCAGGAGTTTGAGGCTGCAGTGAGCTAGGATCCTGCCACTGCATTCCAGCCTGGGTGACAGAGAGAGCCTGTTTCTAAAAATAAATAAGTAAATAAAATAAAAAAAGACCAGGTGATATGGCAAACATATTTGGCTTCCTAATTATTAATTTCTTGTTAACATTCATGAGAACAGGATCCGGGTACACTGAAGGAAAGTTAAATCCTGAAAAATCTCAGAGATAAAACCAACTCTTGCTTTTTATGATCAAATGAGTCTCAGACAGTGTAGATAACTTGTTAAACATCACAATGAGTCTCAGAAAGCGTAGATAACTTGTTAAACGTCATTAGCTCTGCTAGCAAGACTTTTCATAACATGTTTCCCCTTTTTCCTCTAATACTCCCCCAAACACAGCCTGACGTCCTTCCATACCAAATGTAGTGAGTATTGTGCCGTTCCTGCTACTCAGATCTTCCCTTTTGGACCAAGGCACTCTTTCTCCAGTGGAAGCTGAAAGTGTAAATGGCAGAGGGCTGTCAGTTGGTCTTCTTTGGGGAATTTTTCCAAGACAGCTGCTTCATCCAAGATGCCCCTTTAATGATGAAGCCTAGCTGCCTCATCTGAAGGCAGGACAACTCTGATGGGCCGACCCATCCCCAGTGTTCCCCAAGCTATTGTGAGCCTTTTACTGCAGCTCAATCACAGTTGAATTCCCCCGTGTCAGACCAACCCTACTGCCTTCACTCCCATACGAGTGTTGATCCTGAGAATTCTCTTAATATGTAAGCCTCCAACTATGAACCTGCTATCCTAGGAAATAGACTTAAGACATCAAATTTTTAATTATTCCCTTGAGGTTCTCTGATTTCCTGTATATTGATGACTATGAAATGCCACCTTTTCCGATAATCTCATTTCAAGGACAGCTTTGCACCCCTCTCTACTTAAATTGTACATTAATTAGCAGGAATTAATGATATATTCATTTATTATAATTTTAGGAATGTTTATTAATGGAAATGTTTAATTATTATTATTAAGACAGTGTCTTACTCTGTTGCCCAGGCTGAGGTGCAATGGTGCTATCTCAGCTCATTGCAGCCTCCACCTCCTGGGCTCAGCAATCCTCCCATCTAAGCCTTCTGAGTAGCTAGGACTACAGGGACTACAGGCATGTGCCACCATGCTTTGCTAATTTTTAAAATGTTCTGTAGAGACAGGGGTCTCACTATATTGCCCAGTCTGGTCTGGAACTCCTAGGCTCAAGCTATTCTCCTGCCTAGGCCTCGCAAAGTGCTGAGATTACAGGTCTGAGCCTCTGTGCCTAGCCAACAAAAAAATTTTAAAAGATATAGATGGAATGCATGGGAAATACCAGGGATGTCCCTTCCTGAGCTGTGGGGATAGTAACAACAGGGTGGTTGCTACCCATAACCCCAAAGGAATGAGAGTAAAGAAAGTATATAGAAGAAAAGCTTGTAGGAAAACCACATTGAGAAGAGGTAGGGCTGTTAGCTGAGGGAAACAGTTCAAATGTACTCTGAAGGGGAGAAACTTAGGAAGTAAATACATTGACACTGAGAGCAAGGTGTTGGGTGTATTTGGAAGGGAAAAATGAAGAGAAACTGACCACAGAGAATAGGTATGTGCTTAACACCATAGATTAATAAGTAGTAATGTCAGTTAAAACCACCCATAAGAGTGTCTATTCCATTATTTGATATACCAAATAAATATATACTATTTTATAATCATGATATATTTCTACATTTAAATCTTAGGAGGATTTTGAGCTTTCTATCGAGAGGGGCTAAATGCTACTCATATCATATTTCTAACACCTAGCACAGCACTGGATATAAAGCTGGTGCTTATGTCTTGTTTATCTTTTACCAAATAAGAGTAAACCTGCCTCTTTCTAAAAAGCTTTTTACTCTTTTCTTTGTATGATAATTTTCAGGGGGATGTACGTGGGGATGTTTAAGAGAGTGGAACATCAGTACAGAAACTCAGAACAGGTGACCAACCTTGGAGGTGAATGGGAAGATGGCTTTCATATCCATAATGCCATTATATTCAGAAAAAAATTTTTAAAAAGTTACATGACTGAGTGGCTGAAAGGAGTTAATGACACAACTAGGATGAAAAATGAGTTTTTTCATTTCTAGCCCCACCAGTTCTTGATAACACATGGTAAGACCTCCTTAAAGGAAAAAAAAATATATGAGTGAACTACTAGTGTCTCCAAGAGCAGACAAATATATTGAGACATCATGTCATTAAAACATTAAAACACAATCTACCTCTCTTTGAAAATAAGGAGGTTACCAAAATATATTGTCAGGGAGAATTCAGCTTTGATGAAAGGAATCAGAATAAACAAATCTCTGATCTTAATTACTCACTGTTGAGTCTATGGCCGTGTGTTGAAAGGATGAAGGAAAGTTCATCAAGAAAAAAAACCAACAAACAAACAAATGAGAGTCATTAGCTCTTGAGAGTTAATCAGATAATTGTACACAAAGTCCTTCTTATTTTAGGCCAGGGTGGAAAGAGAAAGGGAAATATAGGCCTACCAGGGAAAGGCTCTGCCAGGCTTCACAGGCCAAAGAAACAGGCCCCAGATGGAGTCCCGTGGAGTTCTGCCATCTCTTTGGCTGAGCTGAATTGCTGCCATTTGCCTGCATCTGTCAGTGCAAAAAGCAAAATCTCTCCCATCTCACTCTCCTCCTTTTACCTAAACCATCCTCCCCAGCATTTTCAAAATATATTTCATTTATTGTCTTATTATTTCTTAGAGACAAGAGCTGGGACTCCTTCCCCACAAAAAGCAACCCACTTCCCGCTGGATGGGCACTTTTCTGCCTGGAGCAGGTGTTATTTTTAAAAAATACCAAACAAAAATCCTTTAACTACTATAAAAAGCATAGCTTTAGAGGATTTATATAATTTTCAGAGCAAATGGCATTAAGAAATTTGCTCTTGCACCTGCCTACTCTTCAGATTTGCATAAATGCTGGTTGCTGTACCAATGAAGCATGGCATTTGGTTCTATTTAATGCAAAAACAGAGCCCTGTCCATCTGTAAAGCATCTTCCAAAAGAGTCACAGACACTTATTTTGCTTAAACACACAAAAGAATAAGGGAGGGTTTCCAAATTTCATAGTAAAAGAAATTTTTAAAATGCAGAATATTAGAAATTGACAGGAGAAGCCTATGTACATATTTTTGTCTCCATAAAATTTAAGTGTCTACCTGAATATGTTACATGCCAGATACTTGGCGTTTAATTGTGGTAGAACTTCCTTAATAAAATTAATCAAACAAGCCTAGTTTGAAATTTATAATGTGAGCAAATGTTCTTAAATTCTACTACCATCAGTGATGATCTCATCCAACAAATTGTCAAGGACCCAGAGTCTTCAAAAGTTAAAATATTTTAAAAGATAAGGAGAAAAAAATAGCAGGGAAGTTCAAGCTGAAATAATTGAAATAATAACTGCTCTAGGTACATAAAAGAAATATATATTTCTTTACATCTTGCTTCAAATGTAAATCTTTTCATATATGTTGCACAGAGTGAGGTAGTGAGCTTTCCTAAACTTTCATCTCCACTACATGCTATTGCATGTAAATTATTGTGACTAATAGTATAATTATAGTTATATAGCATTCAATATTAGTGAAAACAAATGTATCTTCTATATTTCAGCTTATAGAGTTATCCTGGAAATAAATATAAAAATGTAATTATTCTGCTAAAATGATATCACTTCCCATCCATCACACATAAGAAAATGTTAAAGCTCCATATTTGGGTTTGCTGACTTCATTTCTAACTTCTTTTCCTACTGACCTTCTACCAGCTTTCTTTAAATCACTACTGACATTTTGAGCTGAACCATTTTTGCTGTTGGGTAAAGGAGCTGTCTTGTGCATTGTAGGATGATTGGATGCATCCCTGGCCTCTACTCACTAAATTTCTATAATATTGCCCCACAAGTCATTACAATTAAAAACGCGTCCAGACATTACCAAATGTCCCATGGGCACAAAATTGCACCTCACTGAGAACTACTGATCTGAGTTTCATGGAACTCACATAGATCTTCAAACACACAAAACCATTTACACATGAGTTGTCTTACTTACCAATACTTTTTTTTTTTTTTTTTTTTTGGAGACAGAGTCTCGCTCTCTCACCCAGTCTGGAGTTCAGTGGTATGATCTCAGCTCACTGAAATCTCCGCCTCCCAGGCTCAAGCGATTCTTGTGCCTTAGCCTCCCAAGTAGCTGGCATTTCAGGAGTGTGCCACCATGTCCAGCTAATTTTTGCATTTTTAGCAGAGACAGGGGAGCGCCATGGTGGCCATACAGGTCTCAAACTCCTGGCCTCAAGTGATCCACTCGCTTCAGCCTCGCTAAATGCTGGGATTAGAGGTTTAAGCCACCATGCCCACCCACATTTCTATTTATTCATTACCATCCAACTCATGTGCCTTCGCTTCTGTGAAGTTTTCTATGATTCTTCTAACAGTTAATTCTTTGCACCACCATAGACATATTCCTATTTTATTACATATTATACTGTATTGAAACAGGTTTTGTCTTTTTCATAAATATCTAAATTTATCAAATGTAGAACTTTTATTTTTTTATACAGATTTTGTGTGTGCTATTACCTACTATAATGACTGCCACATGACAAACAAGAGCTTATGGAATATATTTGAAAAGGTGATTGAGTGATCCAGTGAAAACTAAATCAATCAATAAATATTAGTCTATTTGCCACGTCCTGGCACATAGTAGATGCTCAATAAATAAACGTTGAAAGAAAGGATGAATGAAAAATGTAATGTAACGTGACTAAGAATGGTGGGAGCCTGTATAATACAGATGCCACTACAGCAATGAATCCCACAGCTTTCCTGGATAGTCATTTCAAATTATAAAACCTCTCAGAATATTAGCTTTTAAGCCTAAACTAAGCTGTTCACGTGAAAAAGTATCTTCATTTCATTGTGGACGTTCTGAATGAAATACACCCCTGTTTGAATTTATCTATTCTAACCTTTACTAGAATAGAAGATGAATCTTATGTGACCCCGAATAATCTTCAATCCATGAAAAATAATTACAATCCATTTACCTTTTCCTCTCATTCTTACCCTTTTGTCACAGAGAAATTCTATTATCCTTAAATTTTTTGTGTGGTTTAACATAAACTAATGACTGCATATTTGTGCGGTGAGAGTTCATAGTCAGAATCATGGTAAGAATGCCTTTCAACATGAATTTGTATTGTGCGTATTTAGTAGAGAAAATACAGAGAAAGGGAATAAGGTAACGGAATGTTTGTAAACTGTTTCTTCTCTGACATCATGTAAGTCAGAAGTAAGACAGGTCATAGTTGATGTCTGGACCCTTAATAACATATAAATTGGTGAAACTTGAGGAAAAGATAAGGGGCTTGTCTTTATCCTCTTCTCGTTCCATTTCAGTTTTTGTGACAAGCATAAAATAAGCCCCTTTTCTTCCACATGCTCTCGGTGAAGTAGCCACAAAGACTCTTCCTACGTGATTGCTGGGATACTTAGGAACTTTTTTATTTTGATTTGAATTTAATGCATTTCCAAAATGGCAAGGCATTTTGCAGTGACTTGAACATCAGCAGATATAAGTACAGCCGATTAGTGTAGGATGAAAAGATAGCAACATCATTGAAATAAAGAGAAAAAGGATTGGTGAGGCATATAAAGAGAGAAAATTTAGGTACTCATTTCCACTTAAATGTAGGTGCTTAATGATAAATCAAATAGAAGACACATATATATTATTATTATGGGTAAGACCCATTAGCATATAATTCACAAACCAGCTGGGATGTAGCTGAGTTTAGAGTCTCTAGGCACAGTTTGAAATCTTGGCTCATTCAATATATCATCTTTTTTTTTTCTTTCTTGAGCTCTAGTTATTCTGTTTTGGACACTGTATTTTTATATAGTTCTTACAATGTATACCTGTTGATGTAACAGTGAATAAAGATTGCCTTATTTTTGAGAATCTAGTACAGTTTTTGCTTTAGAGTTCTAAAAATAGGGTTACAAATATATATGTGTGTGTGTGTGTGTGTGTGTGTGTGTGTGTGTGTGTGCGTGCGCACCCACCTTTTTAGGTAGGAGCTGAAAATATCAAAAATAGTATTTTCTCCCATAGTCATTTTTCATGATTTTATGACCTTTTTGTTCATGAGCAATCAGCTTTCCTCCTCTTCATGTTATCACATAAATATTGTGTTTGTGAAGATAAAACTCAATGGCTTGATTCATATATCAATGTATCAAATAACTTACACAAAACTATTTTCTAATATTGAAAAGCAAGGGGAAAAGTTATTTATCTCCGAAATTACAATTTGTTTGTGATTTATCATCAATGTGTACACAGTTTCAGAAAATCCCATAACCAGATTTGTTTTTCCAGAAGTAGTGTTGGGAAGATGACGTAATCAGCTTTTCACATTCTAGAAAAATGGTTGCTCTGGCAGGACAACAAAAGGCAGCTTAGAAAACAGTGAAATGCAAGCAGATTGGGAAGCAGTGAACTTAGATTTTAGTTAGACTGTCAGGGTATATTAAAACATTCCAAATGAGGCAAATATAATCACAGTATCTTCTACCGTATATTGAACTGATATTTTACAGGTGTGTCTCTTCTACTTGATCATTCTGTTCCTCTGAATAGAGATCTTGCCATAATCAACTTTATAGCATTTTATGGCACTACCCAGTTGCTGGAACGTAGGCAGACAATAATGATTTTCATTTTTGAAAGAAAGAGGACATGTTTTCACTGAATTTATAGAGTTGAGAAAGGAAAATAAATTTTGAACCATCCGGCCCTTCCCACAAATCACTAATCTAAAGGGAAAAGTCAAGCTGGGAACTGCTTAGGGCAAAGCTACCTCCCTCACAATTTGCCCACAAGGAAATTCCTGTGGATAAAAGACAGACAGAACTCAAAGTCATCCTTCTGAGGTTCACCTGAAACAAATATATATATATATATTTATATAATTTTTTTTAAGCTCGTTGCCCAGGCTGAAGTGCAATGGCATAATCTTGGCTCACCGCAACCTCCGCTTCCCGCGTTCAAGTGATTTTCCTGCCTCAGCCTCCAAAGTAGCTGGGATTACAGGCATGTGCCACCACGCCCCGCTAATTTTTATATTTTTCATAGAGATGGGGTTTCTCCATGTTGGTCAGGCTGGTCTCGAAGTCCCGACCTCAGGTGATCCGCCCACCTTGGCCTCCCAAAGTGCCAGGATTACAGGCATGAACCACTGCGCCCGGCCCTTCTGCCCTATTTTTTATGTAAAAATGCAAACTCACTGACCCAGACTAAACGTGTATTCAGTGGAAGGCTGATCAAGGACTCAAAATAATGCAACCTTTTGTCTCTTATCTACTTCTAACCTGGAAGGCCCCACTTCCAGTTGTCCTGCCTTACCAGACTGAACCATTGTACATCTTACATATATTGATTGATGCCTTATGTCTCCCTAAAATGGATAAAAGAAGCTGTACCCTGATCACCACAGGCACATGTCCTCGGGATTTCCTAAGTCTGTGTCACAGGCGTGTCCTTAACTTTGGCAAAATAAACTTCCTAAATTGAGATCTGTCTCAGATATTTGGGGTTCACATTCATATAACTTGATTTACTCTATGGAAATAGGGTTCATAACATTTACTCTGCCTCTCATCAATGCTTATTCTTATGCGTATATTGCAAAATGTGTGCTCACACATGTGAACACACACACGCATTATTTTCGTTTTTAATTCTCAGTAATTATATGGCAGTTTTCTTGCCATTATTCAGGAAAATGTATTCTACAATTGCTTTTACTTCATAATGAATCCTCTGTAGTGAGGAAGAAGTGTTAAACCATGGAATCTGGAATGGAAATGATGTGACCCAATGAATTAACAATCTCATTTCTTTCCTCTCATTGTACAAGCATCACAAAATTTTCTAATCCCATTTTTATTCTGAATATTCATAGTCCTTTGATTATGAGGGGCTTTTTTTTTTTTTAAGAAAAGAGAAGCTTCATTTGTAGTAGATGTTAGGGTGGGTCTACTTATTCAGAATCACTTCAGGTAATTTAATAATTTACATTTTTTTCATGTGTGTTTGAAAAGTATACTCTGTTACAGTCAATAGGTACTGAAGTCACTCACATCAAACCTTGCCTTCTCATTCCCTCTCCTGTGAAATGAAAAATATGAATCAAGAATTACCTTATCTTAGAGGCTCAGACTGTTAAATTATGCCAATTTTCAAGGCAGCTCAAATGGTTAGATAAAATGTATTTGAAAATCAGCATTTTGTACCAATCACTTGATTCAGTCTCATTAGATAGCATTGCCTTACTCCCAGGCATCAATTAATGCAATGGCTAGAGGATGGATTTCTATATATTCCTGGCCTTACTTTGCCATCAAATTAGGTGCAGAGAAAAATGAACACAGAACAGTAGGCATGCAAAGAAAAAAAACAATTAAAATGACTTTGAATGTGATTATATGAAGCAATAGAAACATTCTGAAGCCAGAGCTGAAGTCATGGGCATCTCAAAGCAAAAATAATTTTATAAGGGATTCATTCATATGGCCCTTGGCTTTTTTCTGGACAAGAAGAGAATCTAGGTAGACTAAACTTATAATTTCAGAAATCGCCAAATGAGCCTTTTTATTTTACTAGTGAGGAAACCTGGGTCCGAGACTTGGTGATAGTGAGTAATTTTTGGAAAGACAGGAGGAACTCAGCAGGAACAGGATAAAAAAACAGATCCTGAGTGTTCAGTACTTGTCACCATCTTATGGCCACAGCCAAAACCAAGTCCCTGCCTCATGCAGACTTTCCCTTGTACCAAACTAGATAAGGGGAAGACATACTGTGCATTTTCTCCAAGGAAAGAGCTCTTCCTTGTTTGCATCATCTATTTAAATTGACCTATTTGTTAAGGGAAGGACATTTGGAAACCCAACATGAGAATATTCACCACCCTATTGCAATATGTTATTTATTTATTTTTCCAAATAATGTTTTTAACAAAAGCAGAGCACTTTTTTAGACAACATATCTTTTTTCCCATGTGTTTCCATGCCATCCATTATGTTGAATGATGTTGATTGTTTTCTAGATTATGAATTAAAATTTATTCTCACTTTCATGCAGGCATGCACCCATCCATCCAAATCTCTACCCACCATCAAAACTGTTGAGCACATCTGATCATAGCAGTCAACCGCGTGGCTCCAAACTCTGCCACTTGCTCACTATGAGACCTTGACATGGTCTTGAACCCTTTTGAACTCAGCTCACCACTCAATTCTCTGATTTGTGATTTTCCTTCTGACACTGTGTTCATCATAAATTTCACCTCTCAGTAATCAGATTTGGCTTCTCGCTCATTCCTTCTTCAAAGAGTTGTTTCTGGATACTTTGTCTCTATAGCAGTTCATCATCTGAGGTACCTATTTAGCTATATATCTACACAGCAATATATAGACCTCTTTTCTGGACACACTGAAACCAGGGTTTAAAAAAAATAAAAAGAGTTGGTCCCCTGTCTTGAGATTAATGAAACTGAATGTTCTTCCAGTAATTGAGAGGTGTGGTAATAACTGAGAAAATAAATGAGATATTGAAGTTTCTTACCTTGATACGCATGCTGATTTCTAACAGGACACAATTTCCCAAAGTTTCAGCAAGTTTTAGTAAAATGAGCACTGTGTCAGTATTTTAAAAAATATATATATTTCTTGCCTATATTTCCTGTAGTTTCTTGGGCATATCACTTAACATCTTTAGGTTTCCATTTTCCAGTAGGAATATAGGGCTGAGAATTTGCTTTGCCTATCTGGAAAACAGGGCGGGATAGGTTGACATACGAAAAAATATTATTTTGTATAGAAACAATTACATTGTCTGTTGTTTAATACCCACTATATCCTTTGAATTTATTTAAAAAAAAACTAACAATCTTTTAAGTATCAAAAAGTTAATATTGCTCTAAATTAGGGATAGGCAAGCATGCATATAGATATTATGTAAATGAATGACTATGGATGAGTTACATTATTATATCTTTTCATGAATTTAGAAAATAAAGAAAGAAGAATTCCAGATCAGTTTCACTACCTGGAGACAACTTTTTATTTTGTAAATTTGGGATTCTGGTCCAAGGCTCTGTGGTCACAGCCAATTAGAAGCCTGGTTTCTTTTTTTGACAGCAAAGACAAGCTGTGAAGGCAATAGTATCCTGAGGCCTATTTCCTAAGTAAACTTAGGCTCTGACTCCTGGATTGTGTTTTTTTGAGGAAAAGCACTCATCCAGCCTCCTATGCTCACAGGACTTTTAAAAATTGAGAGTTTTACAGTCTTTGTTTTCTTATTTCCACGTGTCTTCCATACAACTTAATATATATAAGAAAGGATCATAATTCCTGATGTGTACTGAATGCAGACCAAATTGTGCCATTAAACAGGATGTTCTAAAATATATTATCTTCATAAATCCTCCCCCAAAAACCTACTCGATAAGGAAAATTATACTGTATTTTTAAAAATAATTAAAGTTAAATTTTGAGAGTTTAGGTGGCATGTCTAAAGTCACACAGGTAGGAAGACAGAGATGGGATTGGAACCAGAGATTTTTTGACTTGTAATGTCATGACCTTTTCATGATGCTATACTCCTTAAACAGTTAAGATGGGGAACATAAAGTTTTCCTTAATGAGTCCATATTGAGCTCAGTATACTGGACATGACATTCTTTCTAAGTAAAAATGGAGGTCCGAGTCACTTGGCATTTAGAAAATAAAGTATAAACTAAGACTTTTTCTTAGTAAAAATCACTATTCCTACCCTAAGAGTCCCTTGGAGAGATGAAATTCTGGCTCCTGCAAGGTTGACTAAATAACTTATTCTAAATAAATATACATAGTCCCTAGTCCTGAAGTTTCTGTTTTAGAATGTCCATGCTGAACCCTGAACATCCTCATGCTCTCCTCGCTGCCACCACTGGGCAATTCCCAGGAATAACTGAGATGAGGAATTACTGCTTTATTTTGTACTTTTCATGTCAGATTAGGCCAGATTCATACTTACATGGAAACAATATCTGATATGCTTGCAAAGACCTTAAAACACATTGTGTTATTTTCTTGAGGAGTCATATTTTGGACATCTGGTGAGACTGTATGTTATGGTCACTAAGAACAGGGATACTAAATTCAGAAAGGCTGGGTTGTAATGCTAGGTTTATAACATTATATTTTTATTTCAATATGTTAAGTTTTCTGTGTCTAAGGATAATACAACATCTATAGTTGTAGGCAGATCAAATGAGAAAAGCTATGGTAAGCATTTGACAACCTATTACTGTTATTATGAATGCCATGGGCACCAGTGCTATACCTTTAAGCTACCACCCAAATGATATAACAAATAATCCTCAAACTGAGTGGCTTACAGTAGTAAGCATTTATTCTCACACTCAGTGAAGGGGGTACTGGTCAACTGTGATTTTGCTGAGCCTGTGATGGTCTCAGCTGGGTGGCTTTGTGTCAGGATGCAGATCCAGTTGAACATGGCTCTGGGCTCTGGGTTACATTTAGAACTGTTCCATGAACTTTTGTTTTGGGGCCCAGATTCTAAAAACAACAGGTACCTGGGGCATAGTTTTCTCATGGTGAATCAGTAAGGTGCAAAAGCCAAGTTAAGCTGCACAAGTACATACTGTATATTAATTCTGCATACATCACTTTTGCCAACCTCCTATTGGTCAAAGCAAGTCATACAGTCAAGGACACATCACTTGAGAGGGAAAGTAGAATTCATCAACCTAAGATCAGGGACAGGAAGAGTAATAATAATCTAAACTATCAAAAACTATAATTACAATGATCTCATTTAATAAAAATGATGCTTTTTAACATTTATTGTGAGATTACCATTTTCCAGATATTGTTACACTTTATGTAAATTCTTTTAAAGGTAAAAGAATGAAAAACTACCAAAACTGTTACCGTCACGTGATGAGGACTGTCTTTAACTTTTTCTACTGTGAAAAACACATTCATATTATCACATTGCTTTTACAAGTGGCTCAGAATAGTTTATTATTAGAATAACTGATTGATTTCAGGCCCTGTCCTCAAATTCCTAGAGACATCTCAGATGGGGAAATGTAACTGAGGTGCTAACACTCTGAGAGCTAGGTACTATCTTTAAGAATAAGCTGTCTGGGACCCCAGGAGTGGGTGGCCATGGTGAGTTGATCAGTGCAGCAAATATTTCTTGTATACCATAGTAATCCTGGGCTCATGCCAGATAGAATTTAAAAGTGAGTTTAGAAATACCACAAGTTTTAGTTAAAAAGTTAACAAAAGAAAAAGTAAAAACTTAAAAAAAACTCACATCATAGAAGGGATTAACTGGCAGATTAAATAGATTAGAGTTTATGGTATAGGTAATAGAGAGTAGATACTAACACTGGCTAGCAAATGCTAGGATACATGAGATTAACCTGGGGTATTTTAAATAAATATAACATTGGTCAATTAACTAATTTAATTATAAAGGACAAATTAAAAAATAGAAAAAGGTGATTGAAAATCCTACAAAAATTGAAAACATGTGAACAGTCTCTTCAGTGGCAAGAAAATACAAAAGACTATACGCATTTGAAAGACTCAACTTCAATACTATTAAATAAATGCATAATATAAAAACAGTGTGCTGGCTTTTAAAAAATTCTTTAGGCCGCGCGCAGTGGCTCACACCTGTAATCCCAGCACTTTGGGAGGCCGAGGCTGGTGGATCACGAGGTCAAGAGATCAAGACTATCCTGGCTAATATGGTGAAACTCCATCTCAACTAAAAATACAAAAAATTAGCCAGGCGCGGTGGCATGCTCTTGAAGTCCCAGCTACTTGGGAGGCTAAGGCAGGAGAATCGCTTGAACCTGGGAGGCAAAGGTTGCGGTGAGCTGAGATCATGCCACTGCACTCCAGCCTGAGCGACAGAGCAAGACTCTGTCTCAAAAAAAAAAAAATGGTTTAAAGGAGGAAATACTAACTCATGTTCATCAGCAGCAACAGTGTGGGGCAAAGGATAGTCTCATAAATTCATAGTCAAAATGTAGAATATCCCAGTATTTTTAGACCAAAATATGTCATCATCTATAGAAATTTTAAATATGCATTACCTTTGCTTAGTATTTACATTTACTGGTATTTATCAAAGGGAAAAACAATAACAACAACAATAAAAACAAAAATAAAGCAAATCAAACCTCGTCCATGTATGATAAAAGGCAAGCCTAAATTTTATTGAAATCTTTCAATAGCAAAACTGGTACAGTACTATAAACGTTCACATTTGTAAAGACATATACACTAACATCCATTCATTACATAGAATTCTATACAATATTTAAAAACATTTTTTTTAAAACAGGGTCTTGCTCTGTCTCCCAGTCTAAAATGCAGTAGGGCAATCATAGCTCACTGTAACCTCAAGCTCCTGGGATCAAGAGAGCAACATTTTAAAAAAGATTCTGATCTTCAGAAATATCACAGATAACCCAACATCTTTTATGAATTAAGCAACATTGAGAGTTGTTTTACCGTCAATATTTGTAAGTTCACAGCATTTCAACTTTTATTTTTTTCTTTCATTTTTTTCCTTTGAAACTCATTTCAAATATTTAAAATATGGCTAATGTATTGTTACACTCTGAATACATACAAGACACTGTGAAACTGGACACACATTTCCAAAGCAATAAAGTAAAATGAATGAGACATGTAAACTGTTGGCTTGAATTGCTAACGACTTAAAACTAAAATCAAATCTCCTTTCCAGGTCTCTGTCAAGAAGAACTGCAGTGGCCTTTCCAATTAATTATCATTGATACAAAGTACTTTGAAGTTAAAAAGGAAAAGAGAATAGCTTTAATTAATGCAAGCAACAGACAAGGCACTCATTAACATTGCTTCTGTATCATTTGGTGGAGCACGCTTTTTTTCCTTAAACACTAAAGAGCTAGAGAAACATCTTACCCACTTGTTTAATGCCTTTAATCAAACCTTAATCTTTAGATTCACTCAGATCTGAAACAACTAGCTTTATAAATTAAAATGAGAGCCCTAAATTCTAATTGATTAGTTCAATGTTTATGAAAGCTATTGTGTTTTCTCAGCTGGAGGGCTACCAGGAGAGTTTACCTTCCACATTTTGGGGGGGATGGCAAAGGGAAATGTGTAATTAAAACACAAATAGTAAACGAAACAATGAAAATAAACAAATCTTCAGAGAAATCTGCAAAGGGAGATACGGGTTGTTACCTTTTGCATTAAATCATTGTACATGTATTGATTACGGAAACATAATAGCATAGTTGTTTCAGGACAGTGGGAGGAAAACATGCTAAAATCATCTCCCTCCTACTTGAACTATAATATTTGTTAAATTGTTAACACACTGATATAGAATTTATTCAAATTTATAGATAAACAGAGCTAAAAAAAATTGGCATATCCATTAAAGAAGGAGGCATATGGATGGCCACAGCAATAAGTGAGACCACTGAGGCAAGCTGAGGCTGTGTGGTGTGTATGTGTGTGTGAGTCAGTGTAGGGGCTACTATATATATATATATATATATATATATATATATGTATATATATATATATATACGTGTATATATATACACGTATATATATATGTATATATATACACGTATATATATATATGTATATATATACACGTATATATATACACGTATATGTATATATATATATACGTGTATATATATACATGTGTATATATATATATATATATATATTTTTTTTTTTTTTTTAATGGAGTCTTGCTCTGTTGCCAGGCTGGAGTGCAGTGGCACCATCTCAGCTCACTGCAACCTCCGCCTTCCAGGTTCAAGTGGTTCTCCTGCCTCAGCCTTCCGAGTAGCTGGGACTATAGGCATGTGCCACCACGCCCAGCTAATTTTTGTATTTTTAGTAGAGACAGGGTTTCACCATGTTGGCCACGATGATCTTGATCTTTTGACCTCGTGATCCACCCACCTCGGCCTCCCAAAGTGCTGGGAATACAGGCGTCAGCCACCGCACTGGCTGGATCTACTATTACATGAGTGCCCTAGTCTGTTTTCTGTTGCTAAAACAGAATACCTAAGACTGGATAATTTCTAAAGAAAAGAGGTTTCTTGGCTCAGGATTCTCTGGAACTGAGAAGTCCAACAAGAATGGCGCCTGCATCTGTCTGGTTTCTCCTGAGGATTTCATGCTATCTCATAACATGCTGGAAGGTCAAAGGGAAAGCAGACAAAGCCAAAGGAGCCAAACAGGAGGGGAGACCTTGATTTATAACAACCCTCTCTCTTGGGAACTGATCCATTCCACCAAAACTAATGTCGTCTCTGGAGAGAGAGGATTGACTCACTGCAGGACTCTGTCCACAAGGGTGGAGGCCCCATGGCCCAGTGTCTACCATTAGGCCCCGCCTCTTAGTGGTTTCACCTCCCAACATCTCTGCACTGAGATTAATGTCCCAGCATGAGTTTTGGTGAGAACACTCAAACCATGGCAATAACCAACTTTGAAGCCATCAGATAGGAAGTTAAATACCTCCAGCTTTTTTTCCTTTTAATTTTTGTGGGCACATAGTAGGTATATATATTTATGGGTTATGTAAGATATTTTGATACAGGCATATAATGCATAATAACCACATCAGGGTAAACGGGATATCTGGCACCTCAAACGTTTAACCTCTCTTTGTCTTACAAACAATCCAGTTATACTCTTTTAGTTATTTTTAAATGTACAATAAATTATTGTTCACTGTAGTCATCCTGTTGTGCTATCAAATACTATATCTTTTCATCCTATCTGACTACAGTTTTGTACCAATAAACCATCCTCACTCTCTGCCCTACCTCTACCCCCACTACCCTTCCCAGCCTCTGGTAATCATCATTTTACTATCTCCAGCCTTTTCCTTATGTCTGTCTGTCTATCTATCTATCATCTATCTAGCTAGCTAGCTAGCTGTTCATCTATCTAGCTAGCTAGCTAGCTGTTCATCTATCTAATCTACCTGCCTGCCTACTTTTCTACCTATCTTCCTGAACTACAAGTTTTTCAGGTGTAGGGCAAAAATAAGGCATTATAATCGCTCATTTGCTACCCAAAAAACCAATCGAATTAGGTATTTTCTTTAATTATGTATTGTTCACACTAGACTCTGAATTTGAAAGAAAATGGGGCATTTGTTTTTAGTGATTTGAACATAGAAGCTAGAGCTGACATCTACCACCTAGGCTACCTAGTTACTTACTATTTGTCTTTAGACATGGTACACCAATATTCTAAGAAAATTCAGTTTTGCAGGTGAAGCGAGTACTAGACAGACTACCTGGCTTCCATTTTCAGCCGAAGGAAAAAGGAAAAGGTCAAGCTACATCTCAAAGTATCATCAGAAGTAACAGTTCCTTCCAAGACCTAGAACTGGGTCTTACTATAGTGTGGACTCCAATTCTTAATAGAAGAATGGCCCTACTTTTCATTATTCAGTCTCTTCCGAGATTGTTACCTTGAAAAATGATATTGTTATTTTATGTACTTAGGATCTAATAGATGCAGAATTCTAATGTTTATTTGTTAAATCTCCTTGAGGCTGCTCAGAATAATGGCATTGTTTAGGGACTCAAACATTTTTGTGCTCCGTAGTAACTGATTATTACTTTTCCTTTTTTTTTTACAAGTAGTTGCAGTTTTAACTCGGCTGAAATATGCTATTTTTTGCTTACTTCATAAAATAAGGTGATCACAGAAATTTAAAATTTTATCAATCATTGCAGGTTACAACATCTTTATTTTTCATGTTAAACTTCATGAAATAATTTATATGTCTTCTTCAAGTCCTGGAGACAGAGTTGAACAGTTAGTTTTCTTTGGTTCTAAATCAGTGCTCTTTCCTTTATTTCATACCTTCTCCGTATTTATAAAATACTATTATCTGGATCACATAACATAATGAATGTAAAAGTGGTTTGTGAACTAGCAACTGCTATTTGAATGGAAATAATGATTATGGAACAAGGCGAAATGTGTTCTTTTATTTAGAAGTTAGCAAAATCAGACCCATTTTAACAACTTAATAAACAGATTCTTAAACAACCATAATCTAAATCATTAAATCCTGAAACTGCAGTTTAATGTATTTTTAAAAACTTTTTATTGCATGTCCTTTGCATTCACTTTTCAATTTTGGCATTTTAAACAATGTAAAGATTAAGATATGACTCCTTCTCTCAAGAGTGGAATATTCTGAGGGGAGAAAATTAGGCACATGATAACTGATTTACAGTCATGATAATAATGCAACCACACAACAATTGAAAGTAATATGAATCATTAAAAGAAAGAGACTAAGTCCCAGGAATGAGGCATATAGAGTTTTAGAAAAAGAATCTCTTAAGGAAGTAGCTATTGCCTAAATCTTGAAGAAGTCGTATGATTTGAACTTGATCTCAAGACACCCAGTATCATCTCAGTGATTTAGTGGGGATTCACAAACAGCTGTTCATTTATTCTGTTCCTGGAATTGTGCAAGACATTGGAACTTCAAAATGCAAAGTCACATAGTGCCCTCAAGAAGAGAGACAGACACTTTACAGATAACTGTAATGACAGTAAGTACTAAAAAAAGAATGTGGGCCGGGTGCCATGGCTCACATGCCTGTAATCCCAGCACTTTAGGAGGCCGAGGCGGGTGGTTCACCTGAGGTCGTGAGTTTGAGACTAGCCTGAAACCCTGTCTCTACTAAAAAAAAAGTACAAAATTAGCTGTGCATTGTAGTACATGCTTGTAATCCCAGCTACTTGGGAGGCTGAGGCAGGAGAATTGCCTGAACCCAGAGGCAGAGGTTGCAGTGAGCCAAGATCACATCATTGCACTCCAGCCTGGGCAACAAGAGTGAAACTCTTGTCTCCAAAAAAAAAAAAAAAAAAAAAAAAAGAACATGGACATGGTGTCATGCAATGCAAGTACAGAGAAGGAAACAATTTATTCTTCCTTGAGGAAGAACTAAAAAAGTTAAAGAAGCATTTAAGGCAAACCTTGGAGGATGGTAGAGCAGGATGGGGAGCTACATCCAAGAGGAAGATAGTGTGAGCAAAGATATGAAGGCATGAAATTATAGGGTTTGAGAAAGCATACATATTAATGTTAGAGACAATACCCACCAAGGGCTCTTCTTCTTAGCTCCAAATAAATACTAACATTTACAAGACTATCACAAGCTATGCCTAGCTGCAGCTACTCAGAAGGATTTAGTCCAGGAAGCACACAGCATACTAGCCAGTCAGTATGCCCTTGTAGAAGTCCACTGTTCACACAGCTAGATAGGAAGTATTTTTTGCCAGATTCCCTTACCTCTACCAGGTGAAAGTTCAGGTAATGAAAGAAAACTCATACCTTGAAGGTGTGTAATCCAGCCTAATTTAGAAACTTATCTCCAACATGAGCCAGTATCAATCACTCCAGAGCATGGCTTCCAGAATTTCCACATAGGACATTACAGTTAGAGTCCTCTACTTATGGAATTCCAAAGTTGGAGCTCTAAATCAAATTTTTGTGTGATCTATATATAGAAACTCCAATTCAGACACAACTTAATAATCAGGGGTTGTTTTTGCCATAAGCCATGTTGCTTAATAACACATGATAATCTACCTTGACCAAATCCCCAGAGGAGTGGAGAAAGTTAACCAAAGGTCTTATTGTCATTAGAAAAGGGAGAGAGTTTGTTAACCCACAGAAGACATTACATCTTAAATTTTAGTTTGTAAGCAGAGAATCTCTGTGTTAAATATTCATACTCTCGACCTGAACCTGACTTTATGGATAAACATCAGAAGACATAGGGCTTGCACATCTGAATGTTAAGACACTTTCTAGGAATATTCTGAAGCACACGATGATTTGAGAACCATTGCCAGTGGGTAATTGGAAAAGAAGAGAGGGAAAATGTAGTTTAGATAATTTATTCATTCATCTACTGCACATGCATTTAGTTATTTTGCTGGAAAATGTAGGCAGGATTATAGAATGGGTCTGTGTTCTTGTGTAGAATTAACAATCTTAGCTTTAAAGCAATGGGGAATTTTGTCTGAGGCAACATCATGATAGGATTTCGTTTTTCTTTAAAGGATAATGACTGTATGAAAATGACATATTTGATAAGGACAAATATGCCCCTATTTGGACATATGAAAACAGGTGGGGGATTGAAGAGAAGAGGACCAGCTAAAGTTACATGTATGGTAAGAGTATGAGGAAATAATCAGGTTGATGCTGTGGGTGAGGGAAAGCAGGAAGATCCCAAAAGATCATCATAAGTTCACAATCTTGGTAACGGGGCCTAGGGAATAAGACGGAGAAAGTGGTTGATTATCCCTGACAAAATTATACTTTGGTTTGAGCTGGAAAATGGGTCTCAGAGAAGAGAGATTAATATGAATCTTGTCTCCAAGCCATCTGCTGCCATGATTTCTTCAGCAGTTTGCTTTCCAACCACGTTGATCTATTTCTCACTGAAATATGCCATATTACTTCTAGATGTAGAACCTTTGCACAGACTTTTCCTTCTGTGTGGGATAAGCTCATCATTGTCATCATCAACAGGCACATCATGTGTATATATATAACATACACGTAAACATTATAAGGATACACACATTGCATATATATACACACATTATGTTACATATCACACATTCTTTCTTCTAGGAAATTGCCCCTAATTTCCACTGGAGGAGTTCTCCCTACCCAGTGGCCTCTGGGTATCTTATTCCACAGATTGTAACATAATTTTTTTACAGTAATTTAAATATATCTATATTTTCCTCAAGGTAATAAGCTTCACGAAAGTGGGAAAGGTATCAGTTTTGTGCCTTGCCCAGTTATTGTCACATAATGAAGTCTAGTACATTTTTTTTGAGCTGTCCAAATTAGAAATGAATGTAGTAATCAAATAAGAGATGTTCTGAAAGAAAATTTTAGTAGTGGTTTAAGAAATGTATTATCAGTTTGCACATGAATTATCCATAAGATATCCAAATTTGAAAAATGTTCCATTAATAGTGAGAAGTGGATGGGAGTAGAGATAAGAACCTGAGAGTGTAGTATATAAAAAAACTGTAAAAAGTCTAAAATAATCATGATCACTGAGGTTTTAAATACCTAAAATACAAGAAATAAATGAGTGATGAATGAAGTTTACTGTATTTTGAAGGAGAAATTCCTCAGAAAAGTGTTTGTGAATAAATGTAAATTACCAGTTGTCTTGTAAAGTCTGGTAAGATGTTGACACCACTGCCTTTGTTGAATTCCAAGTTAAACAAAAGAAAGTAAAGATAGTTCCTACCACATGCTCAGTACTTTTTACTGGACAATGCCACTTTCGTAACCTCTTTTAGTCATCACAATAAGATAATTGTGATCCCATTGTCCTCTTTTTGAGAGAGAGGAAGGAAATAGATATCAGAAAGTTAGCAAATTTGCTCATGTAGCACAGTAAGTAAATAAAAATGGTATGTTGCCAAAACAATATTTGCTAGCTCCAACATCTATTTTATTTCAGTAGGTGCATTTTTAACATTTTTCTTGTATTTCTTGATCTATTCAGATACCTTTCAATTACCAGCTCAGGTAGCTTTATATACGTGTGTGTGTGTGTGTGTGTGTGTGTGTGTGTGTGTATGTGTATATCTATATCTATATATATCTATATCTATCTATATATATGTGTGTGTGTGTGTGTATATATATATATATATATATGTATTATATTACACTTCCCCAAGATCAGGATAGTTAAGCCTTTGCAGGTTTTGCTCTTCTTATAAATGGAAATATCCCACTGACTCTCGTATTTTCTTGGGGTTTTCTATAAACAAATATGTACCTGTCAGAGATCCTGGCTGTAGCCTGATTCAGATGAATCAGTGTCATTTCTTTGAGGGCAGGTAGAGTAATGTTTGTGCCTTTTTCTCATCACCTGCTCTCTGCTTCGATTATTTCTAATTTGGAGAACTCTCTCTCCATTCATTCCTCTTAGATCAATCTTTTTTCCCTTGTGCAGGGTGAGGGATCACAGTTCACATACACTCATGTCAGGATGCCAGATTACCAGTTAGCAATTAAGGAAGCTCATTCATAAACAGACATAATCATTCAATTATATGAAAGTCAGAAGAATGATCTCTTCCATGATGCTGGCATTCCTAAGCCACATCAAAGAGGCTGGTATTTATTTCAGATCATTATAGCTTGATGACTGATCAATTTGACCATCTTCCTATTCTGTGGGACAAACAAAAGGAATCTTTGTCTGTATTTCATGGCCATTTATCATTCCTCTGGCTTTCAAATTGCAAGGATGAGATCAAAGAAAGGGGGAGGAGTGGTATTCAGCAGACTAACACCAAGAGCAAAGCATGATTATACCTTAGTGTTTTCTAATTGTTAAATATCACCTCTGCCTACTCTGTATTGTGGAATAAACACACACTGCCACCACTAAGATAACTAAATCCTTCAAATTCTATTTAGATCAAACTCTATTTACTCGCTTTGATTTCAGAATAAAAATAAGACCCAAATAATCAATCCAAATGTGGCTTTCAACTTGTATATTCCTTGACTCTATTGGGAGTTTGCTGTGTAATTTCACCTGGTAACCTTCCTTACCTTGGCGTAAGTTTTCACAAGTATAGTATGAAGGAACGGGGACTTGATTATTTTTGATATTTTCATTAGCAAGGTAAAGACCTAGATTTGCTATTCAAGTAATGCTTCAAATTAATTCACTTGTTATTATAGTTGTTTTAATTCCACAAGCACAAAAGTTATAAATATAAGAAGAGTATGTTATAAATATGAACACAGGGATTTTTCCACCGAGAATATACACCTGTGGGAAGACTTTATGCCCGTATCATTCCCATAAAATGTAAAATCTTGAAGTAAGGTCTAACCCTGTTTTGTTTGTTTAATCACAAACTGCGTAATATGCAGCAAAAGATATGAAAGTCTCACCTAAACCCTCCAAGTCTTCTACTCTCTAGGGATAGCCACCTTTAACAGCAATTATGTATGTATATTTGCATATTAAAATGTATGAAATGTATAGCTTCCTGTGTCTGGATTTACTTTTTTTTTACATTAATGAAGTTGTACATTGTGTATTATTTTGTGACTTTCCTTTTCCCCCCATTTATCAATATGCTTTGCAGTGCATTTATGTTAGAATATATAGAATCTCAATCATTTTCTTTATCAATATATAGTAATTAGTGACACAGTCATTCTTCATCTGTTGATATACTTTGAGGTGTTTAATTCCCTTTAATTTTACAATGACAAAAGTGCTGGGAAATGTGTTATTTTAAAAGTTTAATTTCAACTGGGTATTTACATCTTATTTATTTATTTATTTATTTATTTATTTTTATTTTTTTTTTGAGATGGTGTTTCACTCTTGTCCCCCAGGCTGGAGTGCAATGTCACAATTTTGGCTCACTGCAACCTCTGCCTCCTGGGTTCAAGCAATTCTCCTGATTCAGCCTCCCAAGTAGCTGGGATTACAAGCACAAGACACCAAGCCCAGCTAATTTTTGTATTTTTAGTAGAGACGGGGTTTCACCATGTTAGCCAGGCTGGTCTCAAACTCCTGTCCTCAAGTGATTTGCCTGCCTCAGTCTCC
The DNA here is from genome assembly GCF_000001405.40 of Homo sapiens. Lineage (NCBI taxonomy): Eukaryota > Metazoa > Chordata > Mammalia > Primates > Hominidae > Homo > Homo sapiens. The sequence continues at coordinate 63,576,684 of NC_000016.10, read as the reverse complement.
CAAAGTGCTAGGATTACAGGCATGAGCCACCGCACCTGGCCATCCTTTTTATTTATAAGGGACATCTGGTACATGGGTTGTTACTCAATATATACCTGATGGCTAATTTATGGCAGATAATTTTTGTGTTAGCCTAATAATAAATTTATATTTATAATTGTGGAATTAAACCTCTCTACCACTTTTAGGTGTATACGTTATAACTGGAGGGAGTCAGGAAGACAGCATCAATTATGAACACGAGGAAATATAAATAATAGAAAAATTAAGAAGTGCTTTTGCAATGCCTTACCCACATGGAAGAAAGATATCTAGTAGCCCCTTCCCTCCAAATTTCTCATCTGCTTTCAGAAAAACTGAAGGAATTCCAAGTCTAGAAAAACTCAAAGGAAAATGAAAAGACTATTAGGAAATTTCAAACCATCCATCCATCTATTTTTTTTGGCTTATTATTTATTCATTTTCTCATTCATTTCTTTTCCCAGGAAATGTTTCTTAAGCACTTATCATGTACCTGTCACTGTACCAGATGAACAAATTTATATTACTTGTTACCAAGGATTCTAGTAGAAAAATAAAATAAGAAGAAAAAATATTATTTATTGAGCACTTAATGTGTTTCATTTGCTTTGCCATGTTAATTTATTTCTGGTAATAACAGCAGAAGTTAGAATTTTGATTTTAATGATGTGGCTGTATAAGCAGAAGTTCAGAGAATAACTTCTGCCTGTGTATGAGAGTGTAGTATTTGCAGTCAGACAAAATTGATTTTGGATCCAAGCTAAGCCAATAACAAATTATGTGTCTTTCTTTCAGACGTTTGATTTCCTGATCTAGGAAATGGAAATAGTACTAACAAGTCCATCTGGTAAAGTTGAGCTAAAGGTCACACCTGAGACACCATAAATGAGATAGTCATGATTACTGTCACTTTCATTATTGTCTCCTACATTGGACACTTGAAGTGGCCAAGAGCTGTTCAGAGGAATGGAAGCAGAGGTTGACTGATCAGCTTTGCCTTGGGGTCTGGACAGAAGGAAATGCTGCTATTACCTAGCTTAGCTTCTGAGAGCAAGAAAGAAGTCAGAGAGTAGAGAAAAACGTGGTTATGAAAATGTGGAGAATGACTGCCCTGTAGAAATCAGTATCTGTGTGATGGGAAAGGACTCAATCAAATTCAACAGGGGAGAGGGAACCTAAGAGCTAAAGACTCCATACGCTGCAAAGCCCTACACAAAATTGTGAGAATTTGCTTTTACTATTGTTTATGTAAACCTTAGTTTGAAGTTTATGCAATATCCTTTTAGATAGATTGTAATGGGTAATAACCCCTTGCACTAGAATCTCCTCCAGCTGGCCTTGCTAAATATCAGAGCTGAAGACTCACACGTCTGAGAAAGTATTTGCATATAAATGAACTCAGTAGTTATTCTGGACCTTTTGACCTGTTTCAATCTCTGTGGGTGACAACCCTTAGTTATTTTAAATAGCTTTGTTACTCCATGCTAACATGACTTGTATTTTCAAACCTTTAATAAGCCTCTTAAAACACTCTACCTCCAGTCATAAGAGGAGAGCCTGAAATATAATGTCACAAATTCTTTAGAACTTGGGTTTAAATACCAAGGAACAGAGCTTTGGTAGTCACTGAAAATTATGATCCCTATTATTACAGGAACCACCCAATTGTGTCTTTTGAATAAAACCAACTTGTGTGCGTGGGGTGTGGCATAAACCCAAAGATCATACTTTAAACGGCTTTCAACAATAACCCATATAGTTTTGTGATAGGACTGCTATAAAATCAGTTTGACTTTATAACCAGAATTACTGAGATATAGTTGCTTTATTACTTATCATATCTGACTAATTACAGAGAGGATTTTACAAAATGAAGATAAATAGCCTAAAGAAAGTGGAGGGAAATGAGGATATTAGAAGGAAATAGCTTCAAACACTGCAAGATGTTCAATATGCTTTTAAGAATTTTGAAAGTAAAGAGAGATGAGAGAAGGAGAATTGAGGATTGCTTTCTCCCTCCTTTTTTACGTGACTAATCCCTCTTCCTTCATGAGTCACTTCCTTTTATTTTTTATTTCTTTTAACTTTAATTTTTTTAATTTTTTGAGAAAGGGTCTCACTCTGTCACCCAGGGTTGGAGAGCAGTGGTGCGATTATAGCCCACAGTAGCCTTGAACTCCTGGGCTCAAGAGATCTTCCACATTAGTCTTCTGAGTAGCTGGGACCACAGGTGTGCACCACCACACTCTGCTAATTATTTTTTTATTATTTGTAGAGATGGAGTCTTCCTATGTTGCCCAGGTTGGTCTCAAACTACTGGGCCCAAGAAACTCTCCCGCTTCCATCTTCTGAAGTGCTTGGATTACAGGCATAAGCCACTGTGCCCAACATCACTACAGTTTAGAATCTATGCTTATACTCCATTTAGTCTGGAATAGGTTCTCTTCTTTTACTTCCTTCTCATAGGGGACTTTCCCCACCAAAGCACTTTTCACTGTGGGTTATAACATCCTACTTTCTCCTCTGCTGGTCTTCAGGACTGTGTTGTATGCATCTCCAGAATGTCTGGTTTATAACTGGATCTTTAGTGCCTAGCATATAGTTGATGTTCATTATATCTGAATTAAAATAAAGTGGGGGCAGGATTTTATAGTACAGTGAGATCTTAATGTCCTTAGAGTATTTTAATTTAATCTTCCTAAGATTTATTCTCATTATGTGTTCAGTGATAATGTATAAATCATGTCAAAATTCCTGGTCAAAGGGATAAAGGAGTATAGGGAGATACATCCCCAACCATGAGGAGATCATATTTTATGATCTTCCTAGTCTTGTAGTTAGGCCAATGTGTGAGTTTCCTATGAAGGGCTCCTCTAAAATGTATTTTTTTAACTAGAACGTCACTTGCTTGGGAGTAGGATTCGAATCATAGTCAAGGAGAAGGACCAGGTCAAAATGGTGGAAGTGGTCCAAGTGAAATGAAACCAGGGAAAGGGATATTAAAAGAAATTAATTCAGAGTCAAGAATTAGCTCTGAATGCTATTCAGCTGAGCAGATGAATTGAAAGATGATGTTAGAATTTGGCTTTTACCGATATCTCTGGGTGTCACCATTGAAGAGGGTGTATTATGCATACATTAACATTCTAGTTGCATAGTTAGGAATAGGATGGTGCAGATTGGCTTAAATAACCTGTGCATTTCAGGGAATTAGCAGAAGAGACAGACTTGAAAATATCCATTACAGGCCAGTTATAAGTGCTGTTACAGGGACATGAAATAAGCATGGGACGTGGATCAAAAAAAAGACTCTACCTTGAACAATTGGGGAGGTTTTCCCCAAGGAGGGCATTATTAAATGAGGTCATGAAGAAGAGATCAACATATTTAAATAAATAAATAAATAAATAAATAACATCAGTGGTGAGAAAGTGATGCTATAAAATGTGGATTTATCTCTAAGATCTGAAAGATTATATCTTACAGCCCCACCATAGTACCTGTAAATACTTCTTAAATGTCTTAAAGATGTCATGCTTCTTGCTTCAGTACATGGAGGATTAGCACAAACAAGGTGTGCCCTTAAAACTATGGATTAAGTCACCTTAATTCTAATCCTTCATATGCACATAGAATTATCCAGTTTAAAAAAGTGCTGGATCCCCTGTAATTTGTGGCACCAACCTCTTCCCCCACTCCCAAGCCTTCCTGGAGGAGGTAAGGCAAGAACAATTATCTCTAGTCTAGAGAGGAGAAAAGGAACAAGGAATACAAGGCCTTGTCTGATGTTCTGCAAGCTTCATATCCCATGATTCAAAAAAGAATTTTCCATTTGAAACCCTCTGGGTGCTCTGTGTGTGTGTGTGTGTGTGTGTGTGTGCGCACGCATGCAACATGCTATACCTTTCCATGGATCTCTAATGCTTTTTTTTTTTTTTTTTGACAGAGTCTTGCTCTGTCGCCCAGGCTGGAGTGCAGTGGAGTGATCTCGGCTCACTGCCACCTCTGCCTCCTGGGTTCAAGTGATTCTCCTGCCTCAGCCTCATGAGTAGCTGGGACTACAGGCACCCACCACCATGCCCAGATTATTTTTGTATTTTTAGTAGAGACGGGAGTTTCACCATATTGGCCAGGCTAATCTCAAACTCCTGACTTCGTAATCTGCCTGCCTTGGACTCCCAAAGTGCTGAGGTTACAGGCAAGAGCCACTGTGCTCAGCCTCTGATGCATTTAAATACAAACAGTGGTGTAAATGAGAAATTAAAATCTTTCAGAAAATGTAGTTGTTTTATCTTCCAAAAGAAGGATGATAATTTGATAAGGAAGTGAATAAAATAAAATTTAAAAAACCCAAGTGTTACTTAGAGATGGCCCTGTACACATATTACATCTTTTAATACAAAAGCCATAGAAGATAAGTAATGTTACACATCTTTCAACATGGAAACACTGCATTCTAGCTGGTTGAAATTCCATTTTCTTTCAAAAGCAGCATAGATGTTGAAACAAGGTACTTTGTCAGGATTTCAACTGAGATGTAGCGAGGAAGAAACACTGCTATCCAAGTTTAAGGCTACTTTAAATCAGAAAGAGTTCCTTGGAGGAAGAGGAGTCTTTGATGTGATTACTCAAGAGGAGATTCTGGTTCAAATATAGGAAGTGCTTCCTATGAGCCAAAAATGTCAGGCTGGGAGTCAGCAAACATGGTTTCTACTCCCTGGAGTTATCACTAAGTGACCCTAGTCTAAATATGGTCTCTCCTCTATGAATATAATAAAGTGTTTGATAAATTTTTTGTTAACTTACTTTCACAATCTGTATTGGTTTTCTGTGGCTGCCTTAGCAAATTTCTACAAACTTTGTAGATTAAAGTAACAGAAATGTATTCTTTCACATTTCCAGAGCCCAGAAGATCAACAACTACTTCACTAGCATGAAATTAAGGTACCAGGTTTAGTCAGGGCCATTGTCCCTCTGGAGGCTCTTGGAAAAAATCCATCCCTTGTCTTTTCTAGCTTCTGGTAGCTGATAGTATTTCCTTGCTTTTGGCCACATGGGTCCAATCTCTGCCTCTGTCTTCACATCAGTTTCTTCACTTTGGCATGTACAATGTCCTTCTGCCTCCCTCTGACAAGGTCAATGGTCAATGGATTTAGGGCCCTTCTAGATAATCATGGACAATCTCTCCTCATTTAAAACATTTTTCAGGTTCTAAGGACTAGGTAGGGGCCGATATTTGAGTGGCCATTATTCAGCCTATTACACTACTGAACATCTCATTATTATAATAGTTTTAAAGCATATTATAGTGGATAAGACAACAATATCTTGAGCCAGACCTTGCAAATTCCAGGCCAAAGTGCTACATTTTTCTCATTTGTAAAGTGAAAATAAAAACTGAACCTATCTTACAGGCTTGTTATAAAAATTAGAAATACATTACTTGTAAAGCACTCAGAACAGTGCCTATCACATGACAGGTGCCCAGTAAAATCTAACTTTTATTATTAGCTGTTACTATCTTCCACCCATGAAAAGCCTGTGTATATTGAAAGATCTTGTCTACCAAAGACACTACATGTATTCAGTAATATTTAATTTGATTCCCAATGTTTTATTAATCAAAGACATTCATCAGTGCTTGTCAGAGCTGATTCAGCAAGAGATAACCAGTGTGTCCATGGTGAGGTGACATACTCCAGCCAAAGGAACAGGCATTTTACATTTTAACCACTGCATTCATGATCTGAGCCAAAGTTCAAGCTCTTTTAATACTTGTTGAAATAGTGAAAATATCCCCTTTACCTCTAATAAGGGATCTCAACATTAGATTTTTTATCTAAAGATCCCTAAAATCTTACTTAATTACCCATTCTTTTATTTCACATTTTCCATTAATACGCATGGTACCCAGAAGAACAAAAGTAGATATCGTTGAGGATCCTAACCTTAGGCAATGTGGTTTCCTTAAGAAGACAACCACAGCTCCATCATCGCACTAGAGATTCTTCATCAGCCACCACTGGAGAATGTGTGGGAAGATGAGGCTATCAATATGAAAGTTATAATATTTACTGCTGTCCTTTAATATAGTCGTATCAGAAAGCCAGCTCAAAGAAGCTCAGCTATTAATTCCATTGAAATTTACTGCTGCGAGGAGAGAGGCGAGACAGAGCCATGGTCAGCATCCCATGAAGTCTTTAAGAGAGAGACAGAAATATGTTCCTTTTACATATTAGATGCTCGGATGATATAATTGCCAAATCCATCAACGTCTATCTGTGGCTGTTTGGATGAGATCTGACTTACTCTGCAGCACGTTTTACAGCTCTGTAGCAACTTTCATCTCCTTAAAGTCCTTGTAAAAAAACGAGGATTCCTATCCTCGGGAGGTACAGATATCTGACATGAGGGCAACAGTGCTATTGAAAAGAGGAAGTCAAGGCAAATGATCCAATTTCCCACGTGAATGGATTCATTTGTCTCTATGCACATTTTAGTGGGATTAAAATGGGAAATTAATGCAAAATATGAGATATGTGTGTCTTACTTCCTACTCCTAGAGATGGGGCTCCCTGTCTTTTCCATTCTCCAGGGCTGCTGGCACCTACAAGACACCAAGGATGTCTTTCAACAGATGGAGGCAGGTAGGACTCAAATCTAAGTGAAACAGAGACAAGGGATGAGCCGAATTTGCAGACCTATTCTGTGAACTTCAGATAATATGTTTTGAACACTTATCTAATGTTAGGCATTGTGTTTACATGTGATCACTCACAATAAAATTACAGCTGAGAGAATTGAAGCTGTAAGTGGTAAATAACGTAGATAAAACCACATAAGAAGCAAGATGCAGAGTAAAACTCAGAGTTTAGGCTTAGTCTTCTATATCACCTTCTGTGATGTCTTGAACTGCCTGCCTCCTTTTCTTTATTCCCCTTTCTCATTTCCCATTCTCTATGAGTATAATGACACTAATCATCCATATCTATCTGACTGGTTTCTGGCAACTTCATTATCTACACATTCCCCCATCAATAATTTCCAATTTGATTCGGAACACCTGTTTCCCACTTGCCCATAGTACAGAATTATAACCTACTGCAAATAAATTAAAGCATGTGACCTGTGAGTACTACTGAAATCTTGCCTGAGGATACTAACCTCTGACAATCACATTATGAGGACTAGAGTATAAGACAGAATCCATAATTTCACATTCAGATGTGATATTTTCTATATCTCTTTATCTTGTGGGCATTTTAGTGTGTTTTATTATACCCCTATGTTTTATATCTTGTATTTCACTGAATGGTAGAATAGATAAAAGAGGGTACTATAGCCCCCCCTTATCTGTGGGGGATACATTCCAAGACCCCCAGTGGATTTCTGAAACCACAGATAGTACTGAATCCTATATACGCTGTTTTTTTTTTACTATATTTACAAATGTATAATAAAGTTTAATTTATAGAGTATGCACACTAAGAGATTAAAAACAATAATAATAAAATAGAACAGTTGTAACAATATACTGCAATAAAAGTTATGTGAATATGATCTTTCTCACTCTCAAAATATTTTATGTAATATTTTCAGATCATGGTTGACATTGGGTAAATAAAACTGTGAAAAATGAAACCATAGATAAGGGAAACTACCCTGTATTAAAAAGAATAAACAAAATGTATATTTGAATTTCACATGGGATTGCTGTTAGCCATATTTTCATGAGTTTCCATATTTCATCAGTAAACTAGTGATTATAATGCAAACCCAAGGGTCATTAAATAGATTGGATAAGAAAACATTTATAAAGCAGAGAATACTGTACGAGCAACATAGTATGCCCTCAGTAACTCCTAGCAATTTAAAAAACAAACCATATTTTTCTTAATCACAAAGTTTGATTTTTAAAAATATGTATTTAATGTTTCTCAACATTAAGCCACCTTACTTCTGTTTCATCTTCAAATCTTCCTCTGGTACTTGGCCTATCACAGGCATTCCTTATGCAGTGGTGAAATTGAATTTCTGAGAGTTGTTTATACTTCAAATGAACCCACAGAAATTCTTTCTAGTTTGAAAATTTTTGCCCTTATCTAAGATTAAGTCCTTGGAAATTGCAGAGGAAAGAAAGATGGGGAAAATTTCAAGTAGAAAAGAAAGGAGAAAAAAGATTATCTGTGAGATGTTTATCTAAACAGTCTAGCAGTGAGAGTGGCAGGCTGTAGATGATCTTCTGGTAAGGGAGGGAAGATGAATGGTTTCCAGGGAACGCTGGTGCTGTTCCTTAAAAGGAGCCTGCTGAGACCTGAGCTAGCCTTCTTGACCCTGTTTTAATGAAGGAGGAAGGATGGAGAGAATCATAAAAGGAACACGCACTCTCACACTCCTACAACAGTTCTCCTGGAAATAGTGGATCTGTTAAGGCAGCTGGGATGTGAGGATGCATGGTGTGGTAAAAAGCAAATTCGATTCTGTTGCTGCCAGTCAGTGACCACAGACACATTATTTGGTTCTCTGAGCTCTTTACTAATTTGCAAATTAAAGAAAATACCTCCAGGGCTACTCTGGTGGTTAAATAATACAACCTGTATTAAAGCTATGAACGAGTTTATAGATCTATTGTGCCAGTGGCTATAATCAGCTGTGTATTACAGATACTTATTTGAGGCTAAATGTGAAGGATAGTTTTGAGGGGATGCACGTTTACTGCTCTTTATTGAAAACTGACCCTTATCTGAAGTGTTATATTGGTGTCAGTGTGTTTACCATATAATCCTGTTCTCTTGGCCAGATTTCATGGAACCATAGTTGCATACCTGATTTCAATTTAGTGATTCATATTTTTTCTCTCCTACGACTTAGATATGAGGCAAAGGTTTATGTATAGATGATGATGGTGATGATGATGATGTATGTGAATGTGTGTTTGTGCATGTGTGTGTGTCAGAGAGAGAGAGAGAAGAGGAAAGAAGAAGAAAATGAACTTGAAACATCCCATTAATACCTTTTCCTGGGAGCATTCCTTCAATAAATCACTTTCACAAGAATCCCAGTCTTAGACTCTGCTTCTAGGAAAGTCCATTTAAATCAACTGACATGGAAATTACTTGCCGGAGATTAACCAGCTAAAGGTAGATGTAGGTGTCCCTAAAACTCACACTGCAAAGGCCATTATGATTTAAGAAAAAGAGTGGTCTATAGAGTGTGACAAATTTGATCAGACATATTTATCAGCTACTAAGTATTAGACCTTGAGAAAATTACTTAACCTCACTGTGTCTTAGTTTCCTATCTGTAATATCGTTCGCACAGGACTATTTGGAGGAATTAAATATCATACATAGGAGACTTCCTAGATGTCCTGGTATATCATATAAATTTAATAAAGAGCAGCTGTTTTATTGCTATTACTACCACTACTACTGTTATTTCTCTGTGAATGATTCTAGCTCAGGGACTGCTCAAAGCCTTCTTCGGTTGTACAATTTTGCCATTTACAACTGTGTTATCCTAACTTACAGTAGAGCTAGAGTTAGAGAGAACTCTCAAAGTCAGTGGTTAAAATGGAAAAACATTAGTGTAAACACAATTGGAAGAGAAGGGTTGCCATGGTGATGCTTTTGCCAAAGTAATGGAGAGGTAAGTTAAATGGCAAGGGAGGCTGTAAAAAAACGTACCTGAATTTTTAACTGCATTGAGTGTGATGGATAGAAGAAAAATCTCAAATTGTATTTAACAGACACTTATTCTGCCTTTAAAATTTGTATTTGGAAAGAATGTATTTGTAGTTTACTGCTGATGTTACCCACAGAAATACTGATCTATCATTGGCAAATGTTTCTGCAGAAAGAAGATACTATCACATGATGGTTTTAGAATCAGTCATCCTGGGTTTGATCCCTAGTTCTACAGTTTTTTGTTCTCAAGATTTTGTCCATTCACTAAACTAGGACTCACTTTCCTTATATATAAAATGTAAGCAATAATAATGACTGATTCATATACTTGTCTGAGTATCGTGTGACTTAATTCATGTGAAGTATTTAGCAGAGAGCCTGGCATTTCGTGAACATTAAGAAGTGCTAGTTATTATTATCAAATTGGCATCATCATTGTTGTCATTATTATCATTATCCTCATTATTCTGGAATAGTAGAGCTTGAGCAGTCCTGGGGGATCATTTAGTTAAATTCCATCATACTATAAAGATTATTTGCCATATATTAGATCATGGTCTTGGCTTATACATGAAAAATTAATAGTCTCTGGCCTTAGGGAACTCATGGACTGAAGGTTCCCTTATATCCAAAAACTTTGGGCTGACACGGTGACCCACATCTGTAATCCCAGCACTTTGGGAGGCCAAGGTGGGCAGATCACTTGAGCTCAGGAGTTTGAGACCAGCCTGGGCAGCATTGCAAAACTCTGTCTCTACCAAAAATACAAAAATTAGCTGGGTGTGGTTGCACATGCCTGTTGCTCCAGATACTCCGGAGATTGAGGCATGAGAATCACTTGAACCTGGGAGGTGGAGATGGCAGTGAGCTGAGATTGCACCACTGCACTCCAGCCTGAGCAGCAGAATGAGACCCTGTTATTAATTAGTTAAATTAAGTAAAAATAAAAATACCAAAATGTAAGGAGTTTGAGTCTTAGTAGAGCAACTTGCTTAGCATTGTGCCTGACATAGAGTAGGCATTCAATAAATATATGTTAAATTAATCAGTGAATAGAATAGTAACTGATTTAATAAGTAGGTTGATGGGAGTTTTGAAGTAGAGCTCCAGGGCTCTGTGCAGCATAACACAAAGATCTAACCTAGTTTGTGGTTGACATCAAGGAGCACTTCCCTAACCATAGAGGAGTTATTCTCTAGCCAATGAGAAACCACCACTTTGACTGGCCCCTTCTTCTCTGGCAGTAATGACTGCTGTGGCTTTCTCAGGACTGAACAGGTAGAACCATGGTACACACTTTGCCTAATACATACCATGATATCATCTTTCAATTATATCATATTTCTTTAGCTCATTTACCTAGTCCAAAAGTGAATGGCTTGATCCCTGTTTCCTGACCCACTAACCTATGGCTTCTCACTGACTCTAACTTACTCCCAGGAGCTACAAGTAAATTATATCTACTGTGTCTTTATGGCTTAGTTCTACTTAGTCACAAGTTAACTCGCCTTCACCTCCATCTCTTTACTCTCTGAGAAGACATTTGTTTTAAAACTCTGCCATATATTAGGGCTTCTAACGATACTCATCTGCTACAGAATTTTGGCTGGATATGAAAAAGATACATGTAGTGATCTAGAAGGGAAAGTTTCATAGGGAAAATTTATTCTAAGGTGCATTGTTCACACTTTAATAGCTTTTTTCATAGATTTCACCTAAATTTCCACATAGTTATATAAAACAAAACTAAAATTTAACAAGAGGGATAATTTGAAATGTATAACTGGTAAACAAGGTGAAATTTGAACTTACTAAACAATTGCTTTTTCTACTGAGCATTTTGAGAATCTGTTTGCTAGGTAGTTGTCTCCCTAATCCTGAGTAAACAGACATTCATGTGTGCACACCCATGTGGTTTGTGTGTGTGTGTGTGTGTGTGTGTGTGTGTGTGTGTGTAGTATTTAGGTACAGGGATTAGAGGAACTTGATCATTGTGTAGCCCTTTTATTAACTAAGTGAATTATTTCTTTGTAGATTTCATTGTTATGACCCCTTCCTTCCACATCATTCCAGAGCACTAATCCATATTGAGCTTTATCAGAAATGTTTCTCCCATGTGTTCTGCCTTGCTTGACATCCAAATGACTCCTGCTATACTTGGCAGCTTTGGGGTCCCAGGAAAATAAGTCTTTAGCTGAGAACTCTGGCTTGAATACTGGCTAACACATTGAACTTTAACTTATGCAAATCTGCCCATAGCTTTTCTTCCTTTATAAACTGTGTTTCCATTACTTGTAGGGCACAGGGCTGCATAGTAGTGGGAACACCTTCATTCTGACCATATGCTCTGTGATTTTGTCTCCATTACTTGCTAGAAAGCCCATTACATTAATCTCAGGTTAAGAAACCATGGTTTATTGGACCCTCAATTTATGCATAAATAGATATTAAATTATCTTTTCTCTATTATTTCGAGGAAATGGGGAGTAATCTAATGTTTTATTGGTTAGAGATGTGTCAGGTGCTATGTTAATTACCTTTACTTCCTTTACCTAAAAATGTTATCACAACAGCAGGACAGATGTGTCTGCCTATTTTACAAACAAGAAAATATTGTTAGAGAAATTAAGTAATCTGCCTGACAACATATGAATGTGTTATTACTGGCAGAACAGTATGTTAAAATATGCACATTCTAGATACAAGAGTTTCCAGCTTCCATAGAACCATAGAAGCAAAGACTTAAGTTGAAAACACAAGTAACCAAGTGCATAGGATTTAAAAATGGTGAAATCAGGATACAAACCAAAAGTTTCAGTTCTGTTCTGGAGTTGTTTTCATTTATGTCCTGGTTTCACTAAGAATAAAGCAGGTGCTTACAGACTGAATATTTATTTGCTCCTCCCCACCATTTATATGTTGAAACCTAATCCTCAAGTGATATCATATGGAGGCAGGGCCTTTGAGAAATGATGAGGTCATTATCCCAATGACCTAAGAGTTAGCTCTTGTAAAAGAAGTCCCAGTGAGCTCCCATGTCCTTTCCACCAAGTCAGAACACACCAAAAATACTAGAAAGCCAACTCTCACCAGGGATCAAATCTCCTGATACCTTGTTCTTGGAATTCCAATAATGTGTCAATATATTCCTATTGTTTATAAGCCACTCAGTCTGTGTCTTCTGTTACAGCAGTCTAAACAGACTAAGACAGCAGGTAAGAAAAATGGCTGCTTACTTAAGAGTATGACCTCTAGAATGAAATAAAGGTATTCAAATTTCAGCAGTGCCACATGCTAGCATCGTGAACTTTGGCTAGTCAACACTTAAATTAGGATATTGATACTATCTAAAACAGAGTCTATTTAAATATATGATTAGGCATACAAGGTACTCAGCATAGTGCCTAACATATAATTTGTGCTCAACAAATGGTATTTGTTATTACTCATTATAATATGATTTAGTTTTGATGAAACTGTAAATAACTATGAGTGTATAGAAGGCACGTGATGGTTGAAATTAAAAGAAAGCCTTGCTGTTGAAATGATGGAAAATGCGCCCCACCCCATGTGTTTATTATGAAGGTGTTTATTACTTTCTTAATGGGATATTAATCCCTGTCAAGGATTTGGAAGCAGATTAAATGACCTCATCATTCCACCTAAGAAAGTCATTTCTTCTGCCCAGGCTTCCTGCTGAGCCAGCATCTTTCAATGATACTCATGCAATATTTAACCAGTGTAGGCACTGGAATACATTTGATTCAAAATGGCCTTTTCCTTAGAACATACATAATCCAGTCAGAAATTTTTATTTTCAATTCTCAGCCAATACAATTACCAGTTAATCACAATAGTGATTGACCTCTGTTGGTTGGATTATACCATCTGAGAAATTTTACATATATATTTTCTAGTTTTAAATACTCTTAAAACAAGTATTTAATCCTGAACACTTCTATATACATTTTAAAATAATAATATTGATTGGGGTAGTGTGTCAGGTTGTTCTACTGTTGCCATAAAGAAATACACAGGACTGTGTAATTTATAAAGAAAAGAGAATTAATTGGCTCACCATTCTGGAAGCTGTACAGAAAACACGCCACCAACATCTGCTTTACTTCTGGAGAGGCCCCAGGGAGATTTTACTCATGGCAGAAGGTGAAGTGGAATCAGGCAGGTCACATGGTAAAAGCAGGAGCAAGAGAGAGTGGGAGGTGCCACACACTTTCAAACAACTGGACCTTGTGTGAAATTACTCATTACCAAGAAGATGGTGCCAAGCCATTCATGAGGGATCCACTGCGATGATCCAACACCTTCATGATCCACCAGTCCCCAACACTGGGGAATGCATTTTAACATGAGATTTGGTGAGGTCAAGACCCAAACCATAACAGTAGGTAGATGTTTATATAATAGGTCAAGTCCATTATTATTGCTGACTTTAAAAGTGCTCTCCATATACTATAACTTCACTTATCCACACGTATACATACATGCTTATTGATATAGATTGGCTGTGTGTCCCCACTCAAATCTCATCTTGAATTATAATCCCCAGGTATTGGGGGAGTGACCTGAAGGGAAGTGATTGGATTGTGGTGGTGGTTCCCCGACACTGTTCTCATTATATTGAGGGAGTTCTCACCAGATCTGATGGTTTTAAAAGTGGCAGTTTCCCCTGTGCTCAATCTTTCTCTCTTCTTGCTGCCATGTAAGACGTGCCTTGCTTCCCCTTCACCTTGCACCTTAATTGTAAGTTTCCCGAGGCCTCCTCAGCCATGCAGGACTGTGAGTCAATTAAACATCTTTGTTTATAAATTACCCAGTCTCAAGTAGTATCTTTATAGCAGTGTGAAAACAGGCTAATACAGAGAACTGGAACCAGCAGAGTGAGGTACTGCTATAAAGGTAACTTGAAAATGTGAAAGTGACTTTGGAACTGGATAACTGGCAGAGGCTGGAAGAGTTTGGAGGGCCCAGAAGGAGACAGGAATATGTGGGAAAGTTTGGAACTTCCTAGAGACTTGTTGAATGGTTTTAACCAAAATGCTGATAATGATATGGGCAATGAAGTCCAGGCTGAGATTGTCTCAGATGAAGATGAGGAACTTATTGGGAACTGGAGTAAAGGTCACTCATGCTATGCTTCAGCAAAGAGACTGGCAGCATTTTGCCCTGTCCTAGAGATCTGTGGAACTTTGAACATAAGAGAGGTGATTTAGGGTATCTAGCAGAAGAAATTTCAAAGCAGCAACATATTTAAGAGATAATTTAGCTTATTCTGAAAGCATTTAGTTATATGCATTCACAAAGAGATGGTTTGAAATTGGACCTTTTGTTTAAAAGGGAAACAGAGCATAAAGGTTTGGAAAATTTGCAGCCTGATCATGTGGCAGAAAAGAAAAACCCATTTTCTGGGGAGGAATTCAAGCAGGCTGCAGGAATTTGCATAAGTAAAGATGAGCTAAATGTGAATAGCCAAGACAATGAGGAAAATGTCCTCAGCGCATGCCAGTGACCTTCATGACAGCTCCTCCCCTCACATGCCCAAAGGTCTAAAGGAAGAATAAATGATTTTGTGGGCCAGGCCCAGGACCCTGCTGCTCTGTGCAGCTTTGAGACATAGTGCCCTGCATCCCAGCCACTCCACTTCCAGCTGTAGCTAAAAGGGGACAAAGTACAGCACAGGCCATTGCTTCAGAGGGTGCAATCCCCAAGTGTTTGCAGCTTTCACATGGTGTTGTGCATATGGGTGCACAGAAGACAAGAGTTGAGCTTTGAGAGCCTCTGCCTAGATTTCAGAGGATGTTTGGAAATGCCTGGATGTCCAGGCAGAAGTCTGTTGCAAGGGCAGAGCCCTCATGGAGAACCTCTACTAGGGCAATGCAGAGGGGAAACGTGGGGTTGGAGCCCCTACACAGAGTACCCACAGGGGCACTGCCTAGTGGAGCTCTTAGATGAGAAGGGGGCCACTGTCCTCCAGATCCCAGAAAGGTAGTTCCATCTACAGCTTGCAACATGCACCTGGAAAAGCTGCAGGTGCTCAGTGATAGCCTGCAAAGCCAGCCACAGGGGCTGTGCCCTCCAATCCAGAGCTGCCCAAGGCTGTGGGCACCTGACCTTGCATCAGTGTGCCCTAGATGTGAGACATGGAGTCAAGGAGACTTTGGAGCTTTAAGATTTAATGATTTCCTGGCTGGATTTTGGACTTGCATGGGAGCTGTGGCCCTTTTGTTTTTGCAAATTTCTTCCATTTGGAATGGGAACATTTACCCAATACCTCTACCTGCATTGTATGTTGGCAGTAACTAACTTGCTTTTGATTTTACAGGCTCATAGGTGGAAGGGACTTGCTTTGTCTCAGATGGGACTTTGGACTTGGACTTTTGAATTAATGCTGAAATGAGTTAGGACTTTGGGGGACTGTTGGAAAAGCATGATTGCTTTTTAAATATGAAGGGGATATGAGATTTTGGAGGGGCCTGGGGCAGAATAATATGGTTTGGCTCTGTGTCCCTACCCAAATCTCATCTCAAATTGTAATCCCCATGTGTTGGGGTATGGGTCTGGTGGGAAGTGACTGGATCATGGGGATGACTTTCCCCATGCTATTCTCCTGATAGTAAGGGAGTTCTCACGAGATCTTATGGTTCTCAAAGTG
Source organism: Homo sapiens (assembly GCF_000001405.40). NCBI lineage: Eukaryota > Metazoa > Chordata > Mammalia > Primates > Hominidae > Homo > Homo sapiens. The sequence goes on along the minus strand of NC_000016.10, from coordinate 63,560,307 downwards.
GCAGTTTCATTTTGGACAATACCAGTATAGAGACAGGGTAAGTATTATCTTCAGTTTACAGACCAAAAACACAAAGATCACATAATTTTAAGTAAATTGATTAAACTCCCATATAGTAAGTTGAATAGAATGTACAGTTTTTCTTTATTTTTTAATTTACGTACTTATTTATTTATTTATTTACTACAAATGCAGTGCACTTTTCAAACTACGTGATTTCCCTTCTCCCCAATTACAAGAGTGTAAAATAGGGTATTGAAGCAGAGATCATATTGAAAATTATATAGTGAATGATCAAATTCATTTGAGCATCCAAACACTTGCTAATTTCATCCCTAATATATGACATGCCCCATATATAAAACGTCAGTTCAGATGACAGCTCCATATAGCTTTTTACACCCTTTGCATGCAAAATTAATGAAAGACATTTTAATTGTACTCATTTTCTCAAAGTTAGGCTATAGTACATTACATATTTAGGGACCGGCCTTGGTGTTTACCATTAAATTTGTTCTCAGTCTCTTAATGTACTTTCTGCATTGCCAGCGCCTCTCCGTAAAGCTCTTTGTTTCAGTATTACTTGAGTCTATATCTGGTTTATTTTGAGCTGTGAAGCTACCCAGTCCTGGTTTGCAATCTAGACATTAGTCATATGGACGTGCAACATTATGCTAATCTCTATAAGCCTCAGATCCCTTATTTATAAAATGTCAATAACAATAACACCTGCGTCACGTAGATATAAAGTTTAAGTGAGATGAGGCCTACATATGTTTTTAACAATTTTATCTATCAAACTTTCTCAGAGCTATCAAATTTAACTCAGCAAAGGCTCAAAACTATTATCCAGGTTTCACAATTGTTGGAAGAAGTTTTGTTTCTGTTTAAGTTTTTACACCTTGATATAAAGATCTTATGAAGAAAGGTTTTGTAAAATAAAAAAAATCAGCTGAAAGGATGGACTCTTAAGCCTTTGTGATATTGACAGGTTATAAATTATTTCCTCCAAGGTGAAAGAGAATAGTCACTAAGAAAATTTTTAAAAAGAGCATACCTATGGGATTCTGGTATATAAACATTTGGTCTGGGAATGGAAGTATAGGGCCATTTTGGTCCTTGGGGAGAGAGTAGGGTATGGATGGGAAGCTAAAATGGCATGTTTTCCATACACTGAGTAATTTATACCTTTAGATGTTCTGTTAGTAACAATAAAAGGAACTGTGAAATGACACTGCTGAGACAAGTTATGAAACTACTTGCTATTTACCAAGAGTGACAATGGTGTGGCCCTGTGGTGGTGCTGCTTTGCAGATGAACATAACACTTAGAAATGAAATAGAATACAATTGCCCTTGTGTTAGTCTGTAATTCTTAGGGCTTGGCTGTATTGATTGCACTGGGGATATGGAGCTGGCTTACTCATTCCTTCAAAGATGATGAATATATATGTTTGTGTGTATGAATGTATGTGTGTGCGTGTACATGCATATGTATAAATAAAAAATATATATTTTATAATATTTAGGTGTTTATTAGTTTATGCATATACACACATACATACACACAGCACACAGTCCCTAATTTACAATTCAACTTATAGTTTGACTTATAATTTTTCTAATTTACTATGGTGCAAAAGCAATACACATTCAGTAGAAACTCTACTTCTAGTACCCATACAATCCCTCTGTTTTTCATTTTCAATATAGTATTCAATAAATCACATGAAATATTCTACACTTTATTATAAAATAAGCTTGCTTTAGATGATTTTACCCAACTGCAGGTTAACATGAGTATTCCAAGCACGTTTAAGGTAGGATAGGTTAAGCTATGATGTTTGTTTGGTTGGATGTATTAAATGCATTTTAAACTTAAGATATTTTCAACTTATGATAAATTTATCAGGCCATAGCCCCATAGTAAGTTGAGGAGCAGGTGTTTGTGTGTTTGTGTTTGTGTGTGTGTGTATGTGTCTGTCTGTGTGTGTGTGTGTGTACACTATCCATCACCTAGTAGATTCTTGTTCTTTGACAATCTGAGACCATCTACACAAGAATAAGGAATGAGAATTAAGCGTACATTTGAAATGGACAGAGTCATGGACTATTCTGATTTTCATTCCCTTTTGGTTTCTCCATTGTCTCTTAAAAGTTTTCAGGTTTTGTAAATTTGCATCAAGATTCTCATCTTGTATTCCCTGAAGAATTTATACCACCAGGCCAGGTGACACACTCCTTAAAATTCAAACCACATTCAAGTGTGATTGCATTTACAAAACCAGCATTGCAATGAAGTTATGTTGCAGTTTAAAGAAGAAAGTTCATCAAAGATGTAGTGGTATTAGTGGTATTGTCTCCTGATCCACCCAACTTATTCATTTTTACATAAGCAAGTGAAATATTTTTCTTCCAGAGCCTAAGATTTTAAGATTTTTAAGTCATTCTTCATTAATAACCAAGATATTTCATTCTGCAACTAAATCCTTTCTCATAGTTTCATTGAATAAAAAAACCATATGGTTCCATAGGTCTGTAAATAATATCATATGGCATTTGAAGGGGAGAGACTATACCACCTTTGTTGCTCTCCCTTTCTCTATCATTTTGCAGCTCTAAATTATGTAAATTCTACCACGTAAGTGAGTTGAACATCACCACTGAATTCTGACCATTCTGTCACTACCCTATTTGAAGACTCCATTATTTCACCTTAGGCAAGTCTAATAATCTGTTAAGCTATCTTCATTTTATCAGTTTCATTCTCCATCCTCACTTCCAGTTCTCTTAGTTCACTCTCCATCCTTCAGAGTGGGCTGACTGAGAAACAAAATAATGACCAGCTCATTTTCTTGTTCTTCCATCATCCTTGTCTTAATATCTACAAGAAAATAAAAAGTGCGAGCATGTAATGCAAAACATCTAAACATGTAATGGAAAATGTCTGTTTTGTCAAAGTCTAGTTGTCTTGCTTCATCTTTTACTGCTCCTGAAACATTTAATAAATTAGTGAATGAATGACTCAGTGAAAGTATCTCAATTTTCAGTATGCTAAATCTTTGTAAATTTTACAAACGCATGCATCGATACTCTCATATTTGTGGAATAAATTGTAACTGGCATTCAAGTCACTAAAAATGGCAGGAGTATCCAGTCTGTCACTCTTTCTAGTTCCTTCTTTAAAGGCTTTAAAATCAACAATATTGGCTTATTGACTATATGCTTCATTTCATTACTGAGAAATTTCACCATCATATAGTGGAAGAAACAGTTTAGGAAATGAGAACTTCTAACGTTATTATTCAAATGTTATTATATTTTATTGTTTTTATATGCTCATTAATTCTTTGGAATTTTTTTCAATGAAAAACAAACAAACACATAGTAACTTGGCTTCAGGTTAAATATATAGCACCAGAAACATATCTCTGTAAATAAGCAAACTTTAGTGGAAATACTGTTAAGGGACCCTGTTTCTCCGTTCAAACTCTTGCCTTTGTTACTGTCAAAAAGAAGATGAAAGAAAAAGAAATCTTGATAAAGATAAGAAAACTGAATAAAAAATTGTTGGAGGGATTTAATTTAACTTGGGAATAATTGTTTTATGTAGTCCAACAGAGGGTAATTTAAATTCACAGAGAGTAGGGGATACATGTCTGACCAAAAGAAGCAATGTAAGGCTAGAGTTACTCATCACTTAGAACCTACAGACATTAAGACACCTTGCCAAGAACTCTAAGCATATTAATAATAGAAACATGGTGTAAAGATTTTGTCCCATTAATTTTTAAATGTTGGGACTCTAATATCTGGCCAGAGATTATTATTAAAGGCAAGCAAACTTCAAGGTAAATAAGATCATCCTATCATCTAGTTTTGGCATTTATAGGACATAGCTGCATAACCGTGTCTAATTAACCTAATATATCTAATTTTGTGTTCACTCTGGGCCAGGCACTATTCTAAGCAAAGTGCCTACTTACAACTGCAATCTCTCTAGAAACCTGAGCTCTCTGTATAACACTATTAAACTAATGGCATATCATAATGCATTATTGGATTCTGGTATCTTCATTTCTTTGTTCTGTCCTAGAATGCCTCCTCCTCCAACCAATCTTTGTATTGAGCAAGTTGACTCCTAATCTTCTGTAAGGTCATAACTCCTTTCACCTCCTTCAGGATGCCTTGCCTGTGTTTGAATTTATTGATGCTTTCATTTCTCTAATGTGTCACTCTAAGTAAATTGGCACTGTTTATCACATATATATATATGTGTGTGTATATATATATATATATATATATCTCAGAGTCTTAGAGCTAATTGCTTCTTTCATGTTTTCATGTTACAAGTTAAGAAACTTTCATTTTCTGAGTATAAGTAAGTTGTCAAATGTCACAAAATGAAACTAGGATTTAAAACCAATCCTCAAAACTCTCCAGTGAGTAAGCGTCCATTCCTTACTGTACAGCAGAGAATTGGGTTTGGTTAACTCTGGCTTTTCATGCTCTGTGTTTACTTTGCCTTAATTAGGCTTTCCAAAACTTGCGGTTTTTGTCTCTCATTCTTTATAAGGAGTAGTCACACATACACCTAACAAATACAAAAAATGAATACTTAACTAAAACACCAAAAATTGACTGTATATATATTGTTCTCTTTCTAACTTATTGTGAGCCTGGCTTGAGTAATGCATGTAGTGTGAAGCTAAAATCTGCACTGCTGTTATATCCACATACATAGCTGTTATTTGAAAAGAAAAAATTCTCTCAGGAGCAGACTAGCAAAGTTAAATTGGAAGGAGAATCAAGACCTAACATCTTATGTAAAATGAATGACTTTGGAATAACTATACATTGCATTGATATTTAATATTTTACAGATGCATGTATTCTATTTGTATGTGCTATTACTCGAACAGAAGCATTTGATGAAATTCCTCCCTCAAGGTCTGGAGGGTTTTTTAAATTTTCATGTTACAGTGAATTTCTCAGATCAAGTCAAGGGTAGCAAGAAAAAAAATGGCTCTGAGAAATTTTTTTTGGACCTTCTAATACAGTTAAAGTTGTCTCTATTTTTCAGTTACTCAATGTCTTCATTAAGGTCATCCTGTCCTTTAAAGCACTTATTGATTTCCACATATGTTAAAGAAAGAGGACTATGGGAGTTATGAAGTGTTAAGTTATCTGGATTCTTCAAAAATTCTGTCTTTGGATATACTAACAATAAAAATTGTGTTGTTAATTAACGTATACATTAAATTAGAAATGTGGATGGCTAGGAGGATATATGGATGAATGTACTGATGGGGTGGATACTAGTATTCCACTTTTAAACATTTATAAAATGTTTTGCTCACAGCAAATGCCTGTGAGTGTTAGGGTCTATTTCTATTTGGCTCAAAAAAAATGCCTGAAAGTGTTAAGGTATATTTCTATCTACAGATTATCTATCAATCCACCGATCTACCTATCTTTATCAATAGTGGTTGTATTTGGGAGGTAGACTTGTAATTGTTTTTTCTTATATTTCTTTTAGTTATTTTATAATTAACATATATTCATTATCTAATCAACTATTGTTTTAAATTACAGAGCACTGTGGAGAATTATGCATTTAGTTTTTATATAACAGCATTTAATGGGTATTACATGTTTTAATTCCTAGACATTTTTAGATGCTACCGAATTTAACCCTGAATATTGCGTTGTGATTTTAGCTTTCTAGTCTTCATAATATTAAATGACTTGCAATTTGGCTAAGTCCAAATCTCAGTTGATCAACTCTGACTCACTTCCTTCATCATGTCTACCCTCAATGACTGCAATTACAAACTAACATCTCCTTGCTGTCCTTCTGATCCCCTATAATCTCTTTTCACACATATATCTAAAGGGCTACCTGTCCTTGAGGACACCAGCATGGTTTCTATTTCAAGACTTTTGCTTTAGCTCTTCTCTTCACCTGGTGTAGTCTTCCCTGGACCTTTGCATGGCTCAGTCCTTCATTTTACTCAGGTTTTGTTTGCAGAGGACAATCTTGACCAGCTTTTCTAAATTATCCCGTTCACTTTTGAAAGTCCTTATTTCACAATCCTTTTTCTGTCTCCATTATATTTTTGCTGAGTTAATCAATTAATGAATTAATTGCTGGTGATTGGCTCTTTTTCCTATTTGAATACACTATCTTCATGGATAGGGACTTTTGTTTCTCCATCATCATCATAGAATATGGCTCTCATGTAGTACTGACCTGACCTGTGTTTGTTGAATAAATTAATAAATAGAGAAACTAATATAATTCATTGTTTTCTATCCAAAGCAATTTTCAGACTGATAATATATTCAATGTTTATAATACCCCACAGAGTGTAAACTTGCTATTTTCATTTTATAAATGATGAAAATGAGGGATAAGATTGTGAAACAACTTGCACTTGTTACGTGGCTGTAAAGTTCAGATCTAGATTTCAGAGCCTGTGGTTCATAATGTCTTCTGCTGTCTTCTCTGCTAACGTTCCTTCATTCAGATCTTTATGTACCTCAACTGTAAGGTAGATGTTCCTAACTTACTGAACTCATGGCAAATTATACCAGGGATTTCATAACCACCTAATTCCAATACCTCTCGAATAGGTTTGAAATTTTCATCAAGTAATCAGAGAGTAAATGTTTCCATCTTTACATAAAAATTGAAAATCATGAAAAATATTCCTTAATGTTGCTCAGTTTGGACTTGTGACTATGCAGAGATTCCAGAAATTTGTATGGATATCTGGAATTTCTCCAGTTAGAGAAAAATGTACCAGTCTAAATTTATTTTTATATTATGGTAGAGCAAATATTCTTGTAGGTATCTAGCTATGCATGTTTTGTTTTTACACAGATTAGTAGAGAAGTAATGTCCTATTGCACTGGTATTTCTAGAAGTCTATGTCTTAAAGGGATTTGTTTTTACTATGTATCAGGCCAATTTGACACTTGACAGCACATAAAAGAAAGTTTTTATACTGCTCATCTGTATACTTAATTTAATTGATCAATTGTTATCATTGAAGTGGGACCCAAATTACACATGCATCCATTGTCATCTTTATAGAAATTGTTAGAGTTACCACTCCTGAGACACCTGCAATAGATTCAATTTTTCCTTGTTGCTGCTCCGAGATAGCTTCAGGCTTTGGCATTATATTGTTCTTGTGTGCTTAGTGTTGCTGTAGTCCTAAGATGACAAAATTCTTAATTTTTCTCTTCTTTTCCCAGTGTTACACAATTTTTAAGTTGAACCACATTCCTCAAATCCTCAAGACAGAAATCTGTTAGTCATATCTCATTTTACCTTCTCTTTTTCTACATTCAATCAATCAGAAAAGTTTGTCAGTTCTACAAATCTATATTTGTATTCATATAAACATTCACATCCACATCACATACCTATATCTATATATCTACATTTCTACCAATAGCAATAACTATGTCTATCTACATATATATATAAATATATAAATGTGTTTGTATATTCAAGATCTGTTCCTGTCACTACATGTTACCATCAAAGTCATGCATTTTATCTCAGTAAAATAGCTGTAATAAGTTCTTTACTGTCTCTTCACTTTTTTAACCCCCAGCTATATCTTCAATAATCCATTTTCGACCCAGAGTAAAATTACTTTGTTTTAAAGAGGATACTTTTTTTCATTTAAAATTTGTTTTATTATACTTTAAGTTCTGGGATACATATGCAGAATGTGCAGGTTTGTTACATAGGTATACATGTACCACGGTGGTTTGCTGCACCCATCAAATCGTCATCTACATTAGGTATTTCTCCTAATGCTATCCCTCCCCTTGCCCCCCACACGACAACAGGCCTCAGTGTGTGATGTTCCTCTCCCTGTGCCCATATGTTCTCGTTCAACTCTCACTTATGAGTGAGAACATGCAGAGTTTGGTTTTCTGTTCCTGTGTTAGTTTGCTGAGAATGATGGTTTCCAGCTTCATCCATGTCCCTGCAAAGTTTTATGTTACTTTTGGACTTAACACATTCCATGGATTTCCACTGAGTCAAGAATAAATGTATATTATTGACCATAGATTAAAAGGTCTTTTCTACTTATCCAATTCTTTCTCCGCTAACTATCTGATACGGTTTGGCTGTGTCCCCACCCAAATCTCATCTTGAATTGTAGCTCCCATCATCCCCACATGTCATGGAAAGGACTCAGTGGGATAATTGAATCATGGAGTGGGTCTTTCCATGCTGTTTTCGTGATAGTGATTAAGTGTCACGAGATCTGATGGTTTTATAAATGGGAGTTCCCCTGCACATGTTCTCTTGCCTGCTGCCATGTGAGATGTGCCTTTGCTCCTCCCTCACCTTCTGCCATGATTGTGAGGCCTCCCTAGCCATGTAGAACTATGAGTCCCTTAAACCTATTTTTCTTTGTAAATTACCCAGTCTCAGGTATTTCTTCATAGCATAATGAGAATGGATTAATACATTCCCTTTTAGTTGTTTGTTACTTTTTCTTTTTGAGTACTATTCTATTGTTAAGATTTACCACAGTTCACATGGTCATTTTCCTGTTGATTTCCATTCTGCTGTGAACACTCAGAAAAATTTGTGAGGACACATGTAATTATTTATCTTGTATAAATAATTAATTATTGAATATAAGGTTTTCACTTAATGAATTAACTTAAGGTTTCACTTAATGACTATAAGGTTTTGCTAAGGAAATTTTCTGCATATTTTCAAAATGTCTTTATTCCGTTTTGTGGTACACATAGAAAGCCTTTGCAGATGGACACTGCACAAATAAACTGTATAAATATAACCAGTTTTATTTATTTATTTATTTATTTAGTTTTTGAGATGGAGTCTCACTCTGTCACCCAGGCTGGAGTGCAGTGGTGCTATCTCGGCTCATTGCAAGTTCCACCTCCCAGGTTCACGCCATTCTCCTGCCTCAGCCTCCTTAGTAGCTGGGACTACAGGTGCCTGCCACCATGCATGGCTAACTTTTCTTTTCCTATTTTAAGTAGAGGCGGGGTTTCATGTGTTAGCCAGGATGGTCTCAATCTCCTGACCTTGTGATCCGCCCGCCTTGGCCTCCCAAAGTGCTGGGATTACAGGCGTGAGCCACCACGCCCGGCCTATTTATTGTTTTATACCTGGATAGATCATTAGACAGAGCCATATTACTAAAGTTCAATTATCAGTATCTAGGACCTCAAAATATTAAGGTGTTTTCTTTTCTTGGTGTGGCATTTAATAATAAACACTGCACTACCTGTACTGTTAGATAGATACTTTGAATGAATGCTTTGCTTTGAAAATGCATGTGTTATGCTCGAGCTGAATTTATCTTGTATAAATACCTAAACGTGAAATTCTGGGTTATAGGATAAGTATATAGTCTAGTGGATAAAGGTCTAGATGTTTGTTGTATCATTTTGCGTTCCACCAGCAATGCATTTATGGTCTAGTTTTTCCACACATCTTTCCTAATAATTGGTGTTGTGAATTTTTAAAATTGTATTCTTTTTACAATAGTATATATAACAATACAGTAGCTAAATCTTATTGTGATGTTAATTTACATTTTTTTTCTGATGGCTTAATATATTAAACATCTTTCCTTTTTGACCATTTCAATTTCTTTTGTGAAGTTTCTACTCAAACCATTTGCTGATTTCTATTGTGTAAGTCAGATTTTCACTCTATCCTTTTCAGAAGTAAAAGGGCCTTAATAGTATTACAAACTGCCAAATAAAATTTAAATTATATTTAAAAAGCCAAGTATTTTACATATCACCTAGCTGCCATTTAGAAGAAATATTTAAGGAAACACAAGTGTTGTAACTATTGAATTGTGATATAAATTGGATCTAGTTCAATTTCCTTTACTTCAGGGATTCACAATATCTTATTTTATTGCACAATATAGCCTCGTTTCAGTAAATTAGTGAGATAAGGGCAAGTGGCTTTCCTTCCTTTCTCTAGCACCGAACTATACAATAACTTGCGCATTTTGTAAATGAGTACTTTTTCTGTGAAATGAAAAGAGGAAATCATTTCCTGTACATCTATTGAATCCTAAGTACTATATTAGTTATATTATATTATTCACTTTTTAATACACAGGACAATATAATTGTCATTGTAACCATTTGCCAAATGAGGAAACTGAGATGATATGAGTCACTTACATTGCCCATGGCCAAATGACTGGTAAATAAAAGAACCGAGATTCATACCAATTACCTACCTGCCTTTGTGAGCTCTTGGTCTTCTCTCAATATTAATCAGGATAGCATCATCCTTTTGAATGAAGTGGTTGTCCACCTTCATGTGAGCATGTCCAGTGGGATGTTCAAGAGTTTTTGTTAATTTGTTTACTTGTTTTTGCTATAAAAGCTCAAAATTTGTTATATCAAATGCTTTAAGACTTTGCTCACTTAATTAATATAAGGTTTTGCTAAGGAAATTTTCTGCATATTTTCAAAATGTCTTTATTCTGTTTTGTGGTACACATAGAAAGCCTTCGCAGATGGACACTGCACAAATAAACTGTATAAATATAACCAGTTTTATTGTTTTATACCTGGATAGATTATTAGACAGAGCCATATTACTAAAGTTCAATTATCAATCTCTAGGACATCAAAATACTAAGATGTTTTCTTTTGGTGGTGTGGCATTTAATAATAAACACTGCACTACCTGTACTGTTACATAGATACTTTGAATGAATGCTTTGCTTTGAAAATTCATGTGTTATCCTCAAGCTGAATTCAATTTAGCTTTTGTTCTGACGGATGGACAAGCTCTTTCACAGTGCTAATCCTTGCTCAGAATTCTCACTAAGGGCTACCATGTCAACTCTTTTTGGTTCCTGTGAAGAATACATGTCCCTATGCTTTGCATTTATTTGACTCTGGAAGGAGTCAAATGAGATTGGAGAATAATTTAATTAATGGTGTTTTTAAGGTAGAAAATAAAGTCACAACTAACGGATACATTTTCCTATGACTGCAGAATTGATAATCACAAAAATAGTATCTGAATACAAAGTCAGCAGGAAAATAGAGCAGTCTAAATATACTTATTGTAGGTGAGAACACTGGGGCAAGTCAAGAAAGACCCCAAACAACATAGGCAACACTGTCTTGATACTGTACCAATTATAAAAGGCTAGAGTTAGCAATGTATGCATGAAAACATAAACTCCCCAAAATTAGAACAGCCACTCAGTCAGTCTTAAAAGAATCACTTATATTATGATAGAAATTATTTCTATTAGCACATTAGGGCTCAATTTCAAGGTATGAGCATTATGATATCATTCCTCCATTCCTAGTACATCCCAATGTATGCTCTGTGATCACTTATTTAATGAGTCTATTTTTTAAAAGAGAAAGATATAGAAATAAAATTGACACTGATTTTTACTCATCCAGTTTGTGCCAACCCCGATGTTCCCATAACTAGCTAGATGACTTTTGGCTTAATGCTGAATGTTTTATCTTGAGCTTATTTCCTTGTCTGTTAAATAAAGTTGTTTTCTACTCAAAACACTAACTTATTAAGAAAAAGTAGTATTTATTCAGTAAAATGAGTTTGGGGAAACTCTGGGTAATGCCCATTTGAAAAATTACAAGAATCATTAATAAATTAAAGGGTTTAAAAATCCTGAAGGTAAAGGCATATGTTGCATATTAGTTAACATTTTTCAAAGCTTATTTGATAAAGACATTCATTTGTATCTGCCTTCTATAATACCTGTTAATGATGCATTAAATGCATTTCCATCAAAGAGGAACAGTTTGCCAGCTCTCTTTCCAGATGATGTATTCTAAGATTTCTGACTCTTCTCCCATATGATTCAGTATGTTACCAGATTCCATTTGGATATTCAATGAGTGAAAGAAATTACTTCCTTCCTAATTGTCACTGGTGAATATTCCTAATAACTTTACAGAGTGGTGGAGGTTTTTGACATCGAGACTCATCCTTTGAAAAAACTCAGACCAAAAAATAAGTAAAGCACCCAAAATGCATCATAGAACTAAATGTAAAATGCAAAACAATGAAACACCTAGAAGACAATGTGGGAGAAGATCCAGATGATATTTGGTTTGTCAATGTGTTTTTAGATACATCACCAAAGGCATTATCCATGGAAAAAATAATTGATAAATTGAACGTTATTACATTTTTTTTTTAAAAGCAAACCGAATGACACTGTCAAAAGAAAAGGAACATGCCACAGAATGGGAGAAAATATTTGCAAAAGATCTATCTTATAAAGAACTATTATCCAAAATGTATGTACAAACTCTTGAAACTAAACAATAAGAAAATAATCTGATTTTAAAATGGGAAAAATATATGAACAAACACCTTGCTATAGAAGATATACAGGTAGCAGAGAAACATGTGAAAAGATGCTTAACATCATACATCTTTAGAGATTTTGAAATTAAAACACCAGTTAGGGGCCGGGCACGATGGCTCAAGCCTGTAATCCCAGCACTTTGGGAGGCTGAGGAGGGCAGATCCTGAGGTCAGGAGATCGAGACCATCTTGGCTAACACGGTGAAACCCCGTCTCTACTAAAAATACAAAAAAAAAAAAAAGCCAGGCGTGGTTGTGGGCGCCTGTAGTCCCAGCTACTGGGAGGCTGAGGCAGGAGAATGGCGTGAACCTGGGAGGCAGAGCTTGCAGTGAGCTGAGATCGCCCTACTGCACTCCAGCCTGGGCGACAGAGCAAGACTCCATCTCAAAAAAATAAAAATAAATTAAAATAAAACAGCAGTTAGATATCACTACACACCTATTAAAATGGCTAAAATCCAAAGCACCGCAAACACCGACTGCTAGTGAAAATGTGGAGCAATAGAAATTCTTATTCATTGCTGTTAAATATGCCATTTTGGAAGACAGTTTGGGAGTTTTATTAATAAAACAAAAGATACTCTTGCTATATGATCCAGCAGTGATGCTCCTTGGTATTTATCCAAAGGAACTGAAATCTTATGTCCACACAATAACTTGTGTATAGATGTTTGTAGCAGCTTTGTTCTTAATCGCCAAAACCTGTAAGAAACAAATATTTCCTTCAATAGACAAATGGATAAGTAAATTGTGGTACATTCCAGACAATGAAATATTATTCGGGACTATAAATAAATGAGCTATTAAGTTGTAAAAAGACATAGAAGAAAATTAAATGCGTATCATTAAGTGAAAAATGCCAATCTAAAAGCCTATCGTACTATATGATTCCAACTCTATGATATTCTGGAAAAGGCAAAACTATGGAGACAGTAAAAATAGTAATGGTTATCAGTAATTTGTAGAGTGGGAGGGATGCATAGGTGGAGCACAGGAGACACTTAGGTCAGCAAAAGTGTTCTGTATGATACTAGGGATGGTGGATGCATGTAACTGTATATTTCTCTAACCCATGGAATGTACAACACAGAGTAAACCATAATATAAACTAAGGACTTCAGGATGATGATGTGGTGATGTTGGGTCATCAGTTCCAACAACTGTACTCTCTGGGGCATGATGTTGATGGTGGGGAGGTTGCACATGTAGGGTGAGGACACATATGGGAACTCTGTTTTCCACTCAACTATTCTGTGAAATTAAAACTTCTCTAAAAAATAATGTTTACATAAATAAATAAATACTTCCATAAAATCCAAATACGGATGACTATTATACAGAGAATAAAATTCATCATGTATTTTTCCATTGTACCACCCTGATAAATAGAGTTCTTTCAGATCTATTAAAAATGTTTGAATACAATAAAATCAAGGATAATTCATTAATGATACAAAAAAAAGTCTCGACTTCTCTTCAACATCATCAAATTGAATCATCTGCCATCCTGATCACTGGGTGGCATTAGGCCTCAGCTTTTTCATTTATAAGATGAGCAGTTTAGACTAAAAATAAACAAGGGTATCTTCAGCTCCCTTATTGTATTTTTTTGTTGTTGTTGCTGTTAATAATCCTCCATTTTGCTAGCCTGACCAATTTTTTTGTACCATTGAAAAGTACATTGAAAGGTAGGTTGATGAAAAAGTAATTGAGGTTTTTGCCAGTAAAAGTAATGACAAAAGCCTCAATTACTTCTGCACCAACCTAACAATAACTTATAAGAAAATATGTAAGAATATCCAAATATAAATAAGAATATAATAATGTAAGTTTCATTGAATGATTTTGGAGTGGAGCTTTACTTTCATCACATGATGATGATTGAAGGGATTAAAATATTACTTAGTCAATTTCAGCAATCAGAGTTAAACCCATCTCTACTTTATATAACTACAGATTAGTTTATGGACCTACACAAATTCTGCAAATTATTTGTTAATAGAATCATTTTAGAGTTGTAAAGCTGAGCATCAGAGTATTTAAGGAACTTAAACGAAATCACAAATCTAGAAAAGGAAGAAATGACAATTCAGTTATTATTTAATGTCAAAATGTGTGAAATTTCAGATACAATATACTATATCCAAACTATATAGCAGTGTATTTTGTATGTCAATATGCCAAATATATCAATACATATCTATCCTAAATAGTCAATCAAAGAGACACAAATACTTTCTGGAATTCATCTTGGGTTTCAAGAAATTATTAAATGTCTTGGAATTCAGAGTCAGGTTAGAACCACAATCAGAAATATATTCTCATTTTGTTTTAGTTTTGTTTTACACATTGTTTAATTAACTTATTAATGAGTAACTAAAATATATTACATAGTGGTCCAAGTACCAGTTCACAACAATTCACTGTCCTTAGCTATTACAAAAAAAAAAAAAAAGAGCCGTTCTCATATTTTTGATGACTGGCTATTGTCAAAGAGATTCAAAATGCCACATGTCAGTTTTGGAAAGAAAACTCAAGGTTACCTTTGAAAAACATTTTCATTGAGAACAACAATAATGATCCCAGTGCTGCCTAACATATAGGATCCTAAACTCATAACTTCTCCTTTTGCTTATTATAGCTCCATAAATTTTGAAACATTAGTAATATCGTATAAATGAGAAAATTGCTCAAAAATATTAAGTAGACTACCTTCATCACAGATTCAAGATGTATTGATCATATTCTTAGGATTTTAGTCTCTCAGCTAACATATCAACCCCAAATTATTGCATGCAAACTGTTCATATTACTGCAACTTAAAGCATCAAAAGTCTTAACATATTTTCTAGCCAAATTATCACTGGAGGCAACACTTGACCTTTCAAATGGTATGTGACTCTTCAAAACATTTTAAACATTTGTTTATACATCTTCTTAAATTTGATCCACATATTTTGTACTACATGTGGTTTCACTTTTTAGGTAAACTATTTGAAATATTACATAAAATAAAACACAGAAGCCTTAGTATACAGCTTGCTAATTTATTACAAAAAGGAAACACAACAGAAACACATGTTACCAAAACCATGAACATAACAGAACTCAAGGAGCCTGCCTGAATCACATGATACAGGGTTTGCTCTTTTGTGTTTAGTCTCTTTCACACAACCTTATATTCATGAGATTTATATTTATAATTGCATATAATATTAGATTCTGCATTCTCATAGCTGTATATATTATATGTATATGTCACCATTTATTTATCTATTTTATATTCTTGATAAACACTTTTAAATTTGGGACTATTATGAATATCGTTGCTATAAATATTTTTGTATATGCCTTTGTGGTACTTAAGTATTTCTCTAGCTTCTAAATGTAAGTCGTGTTGCTAGATCTCATATGTCTGATTTTAAAAGATAATCTCAAACACATTTCTAAAGTCGTTATTCCAAGATGAAAGTTGAAATTGCTCCATATCCTCACATGCTTAGAATTATATTAATTTTAGTCATGCAAGTGGTTTAGTCATGTAAATTTATTGTATTTTTAATTTCAATTTCTCTGTAGATCAGTGACATTGAGAAACTTTTCACCTATTTGTTGAACATGTAGTTATACAATTTTTGTAAAATGGCACTCAAGAACTTACCAATGTCTTCCCTCCCTTCTCCCTCCTTCTTTTTCTTTGTCCTTTTCCAACTGCTTTGCATTTATGTTTTTTATTGGTGAGAGTTTCATATATGTATGAGTATATATATTCTAGATAGGAGACCTTTGCCAAATATATGCTTTGCAAATGTCTTTTCTTACTTGGTGGCTCCCATTCTCATTCCTTAAAGGCATCTTTTGATACAAGCTGAAATTTTTATTTTTAATGTAGTTCACTTTCCTTTTATGGTTAGCACCATAAAATTCACTATGTGTTAGCAGTTTTTGCCCATCCCAAGTAGTGAGTTAATTATTCTATATGTTGCCTTCTAGAATCCTTATTGCTCCACTTTTCACATTTAGATCTATAAACCATCTGGTATTTATTTTGTTTATGACATGTGGTAGGAGTATAAATTTAATAAATTCATTTTGTCTAATACAAATACACAAGTGCATGTTTACTATTTATTGAAAGGACATCCATATTTCTAATGCTCTGAAGTGATACATTTGTTGTGAATCATTTTACTGTACACATGTGGGTGTGCTTCTGATGTGTCTATGCTCTATGTTTAACTTTAGACCATGTTACACTACTGCCTTAATTAGTATGTCTTTATATTGTCTTGATATTTGATAGTTTAAGTTATCCAGCAACGTGCTTTATAAGGATCTTGGTTGTTACTCATTTCATTTGCATATAAAATGTAAAACAACTAGTGGATGCACAACAAACAAAAAAGACAAAACAAAACATAAAAATCCTTGTTGAGAATTACGTCTTTTAAAAATAGATTATTCTAGCCTATTATATATTTATTACTTTATTTTAGTCTTCTTTGTTCTGTCTTTCTCTTTCGCTTTGTAAAGGTATTGCATATCTTAAAAATTACATTTTCCTTGAGTGTTTGATGTTACGTTGATACTATTGCAACAGTTACCCTTTCTTTTTCCATTTCATATTCTGATAGCTTGTTGCTAGTGCATGGAAATGGAATACCTAATTGTGTAAATAATGGAGTTCTTAATTTCTGTCTTTCCCATCTCTGTCTATTTTTATCTGTCAATAGAGATAGATAGAAATAGACATATACATATTTTTTTCATGTTTTATTATATTGGTTAGATTATCTGATAACATTTTTTTTTATAAAGTAGCAGTAATGGAATCCTTTTTCTATTTCCCAGTCTCTGGGAAAATTTTCAATAATTTACCATTAAGTACAATGTTATCTGTAAAGTGTTTGGTGCTTGTAGCATCTCTTTATCAGATTAATTTTCCTCTTATTTCCAGTTCATGTGGAGCTTATTCATAAATGGGTGGTGAATTTCATGAAATGCTTTTTCAAATGGTTTGAACTAAGCACATTTTTGGTATGTGGTAAATTGCATTGACTGAAATTCAAATGGAAACAATCCCTACTGCCATATTGTATATCATCTTGTTTAGATAATACAGTGTTCATTTTTAATGTTTTATCAAGATATATCCAATTATGTGCATATGAGACATTGACTTGGAAATTTTTATTCTTCCAACGACTCTGGTATTTGAATCAATACATATATGCTACACACTGTATAATTTTGTTTAAGACTGGTGCTATTTATATTTTAACTATTTGAGTAACTCATAAGTAATGCCATCTGGATCTGGAATTTTATTAGTAGGAAAAGTCTGACTTAAATATTATATTAGCTTACTAAATATAGTCTCTTCAGATTTTCTGCTTCTTGTGTCAGTTTGGCATTGATGTTTTTCAAATAAAGTATCATATTAGCCATAAAAATTTTTATAGGTTTTAAATGTCTTTAGGATTTTATTGATGTTCCCATTCCTGATGCTGGTAATTTTTGTCTTTTCTTTCTTTCACAACCAATAGCCATCCAATTTTGTTTTCCCAGAGTTTTCCTTTTAGATACATAGTCTCTACTTCATTTGTTCCTGCTCTGATTTTTATTTCATTCCTCTTAATATATCTAGCAGTCATTCTGATTTTTATCGTGACTTTTTTTTGTGATCCATGCGTCCTTCAGAATGTTCTTGCTTAATCTTCAATATTGGGGAATTTTCTAGGTATATTTCTATCACTGATTTTAACTTAATTATATTGTGTTAGGATGTTAAACTACGCATAATTTTAGACTTTTAAAATGTGTTCGGCCTTAGCTTATGGTCTAGCATATAGCCAGTTTTCATAATATTTCTAAATACAGTAGATAAGGATATGCATTTGCAGTTATTCTTTGCAATGTTCTATATATATCAGGTATAGCTGGGAATAATGACTAGCACCTGTAGTCGTAGCTATCAGGAGGCCAAGTGGGGAGAATCACTTAAGCCCAGGTGTTCAAGACTGCAATGAGCCATGATTGTGCCACTGCACTCCAGCCTGGGTGACAGGGTAAGACACCATCTCTAAAACATAAATAAATAAAATACAAAATATATATGTCAGTTATGTAAACTGCATTAATTATTGTGCTACTATTTTATGATCTTAAATTTTTTTTGTCTTTTTAATTCATCAAATATTTATAGAGATATGTTAACTTATTTTTCTAAGAGTATGAATTTTTCTATTTTTCCTTTTAGGTCAGTGAAGGTTTCTTTCCTATATTTTAAATTATGAGCAAATAAATTTTTAGATTATTATATCTGTCTGATAGATTTGTTCTTTTAACATCATGAAATGCCTCTCTGTACATCCTGCAATATGTGTTGCCTTAAAGGATAACTTTTCTAATATTAGCACATTTGTGTAATTTTATGTTAATCTCTGCATTGCATATCTAAATCTAAAAACTTTTTGTTATTATACTTAAATTTTGTTTCTTATAAACAATATGTCATTATGTTGTTTATTTATCTAGAATCTAGACTGCCATTCATTGTCTTTTAACTGGAGAAATTACAAGTATTTGGTATAATTCAGGAGTGTCCAACCTTCTGGCTTCCCTGGGCCACAATGGAAGAACAATTGTCTTGGGCCACACATAAAATACACTAACACTAACAATAGCTAAAAGAAATTACAAAAAAAAGAAACATAATGTTTTAAGAAAATTTATGAATTTCTCTTGGGACACATTCAAAACCATCTTGGGCCGCATGTGGCCTGTGGGCCTCGGGTTGGAAAGGCTTGGATTTATTTATTTATTTGTTTATTTAATTTTTAAAAATTATTATTATTATTTTTGAGACAGAGTCTCACTCTGTCTGCAAGGCTGGAGTGCAGTGGCACAATCTTGGCTCACTGCAACCTCTGCCTCCCAGGCTCAAGCAGTTCTCCTGCCTCAGCCTCCTGAGTAGCTGGGATTACGGGCATGTGCCACCATGCCCAGCTAATTTTTGTATTTTTAGTAGAGATGGGGTTTCACCATTTTGGCCAGGCTGGTCTCGAACTCATGACGTTGTGATTCGCCCGCCTTGGCCTCCCAAAGTGCTGGGATTACAGGCGTGAGCTGCTGCGCCCACCGGAAAAGCTTGGATTTACAACATTTGTGTTCAAAGTACTTCAATTATATGTTTTTATTTGTTCCAAATTTTTTTGTTTTTATTTATTTTCTCTTTTCTGCCCTTCTTTAGATTTACCTATTACTTTTATTTTCTTACACTCCTTAGATTGTTAGTTATATATTATTTTATTATCATTATTGTTACTGTTATTGTCGTGATTGGTGGTAATGATGTTGTTACCTATATCTCATACATATTATATATTATTACTAATTACTACCTTTCAAATTCCCAGAGAGTGCAAAGGTCTTACAGCCCTTGAATTCTTTCATGTGTGTTGTTTCTGAGATAAACATAATTTCTGGAGATAGCGAATATTTTTATTCATATATGACATAGAGGTTCACATCTACCCCTTGCTCTAGAGGCCTAACCCATGGCTTTTGCCCACCATGTAGCTGTCAATACAGTAATATAGCAATTATATTTTTTCTATTCCTCTTTTGATAGGCATTTAGTTTCCAGAGTTTCACTACTAAAGCAATTCTGAAACGAATATCTTTGTGCCTGCCTCATAGTACTCAAGAGGCTTTCTGTCAACATTGGGTTCATAACAAGAGGGAAAC
The DNA here is from genome assembly GCF_000001405.40 of Homo sapiens. Classification (NCBI taxonomy): domain Eukaryota; kingdom Metazoa; phylum Chordata; class Mammalia; order Primates; family Hominidae; genus Homo; species Homo sapiens. The sequence goes on along the minus strand of NC_000016.10, from coordinate 63,540,159 downwards.
CATATTAGTTATTATGGGGTCTTTCTAATCTTTTGACAGCAAGTTAAATTATGATTGGTAACTAGAAATCACTTTGCGTCAGTAAACAGTAATTGGAAGTGACTGTTTTTATTATTGTTGTTTTTGCTTACTTGTTTTCTCTTAATGTTATGATTTGCCACCTTTCACCCTTATTCCTTGTTTACTATTTTAGCTCATTTGTGTTCTCAAATTGCATATTGCATAATCCTTTCCTCCAATGGAAACAGAAAGAGCAGAATGCTTGCCACTAGTTGGCAAAGTTTTGATTCCATTGCAAACCATGCTTTAAAGGTATTTCACAGATGTCATCCATATTATTCTTCAAAGCAGCCCCATAAGAAGAGTGATGCTTATTTTACTTAAAATTTTAGGAAGCAGATTAAGAGACATCCGACATTCTTTCAAATTACCAGTTTCACTTGAAAGCTCACTCATTTTCCACACCACTTGCTGAAGAAGCCCACTCAAGGGAGACTCCCTCTGCTCTGCATCTGTTCAACATCTTTAGGCCAGAGAGAAATTTTAGGGGCAATAAAACATGCCCTTTTACCCCACATAAAAAAAAAAAAAAAAAGTAAGACTGCTTTGGCACAGTGTGGATCATTGTTTAATAATGAATGTCTGTAAAACATCCTCACCCTTATCTGTGCGTTTTTCCCCTAGGACCTCTGTAGACCATGAATCTAGTGGGGGTAGACCCATGGGCAGATCTGGTTATACAGCCTCACTTTATAAATGAGGCTGTCAAATTCCAATCATTTGACTGGCTTTGTGGCCGGACAACCTGTGAAGAAATATATTTCTTTTTCTTTTTTTTTGGATACTGTTCAAGTTATCTCATCTCACAATAAAACTATCCATAAATAATGGCAATACTTTATTTTCACAATAACTTAGACTTTTTTTCTGTCTGTGAAATCAGCATATACCTATTGTGGCAATAGAATAAAAATACACAAAAATATGAAGACAAATGCATTTAGTATTAAAAGTAAAACAAAATATTTACATTTTTGCTTTTATTTTCATCCCTCATTTATATTATGTACTTTTTGTTTTCTGAGACAGGGTCTTTTCTTTTGGAGTGCAGTGGTACAATCACAGACTCATGATAACCTCTGCTTCCTGGGGCTGAAGTGATCCTCCTGCCTCAGCCTCCCAAGTAGCTGGAGCTACAGGGGCACACCACCACTCCTGACTAATCTTTAAAATTTTTTTTTAGAGATGAGGACTCACTGTATTGTTCAGGCTAGTCTCAAGCTCCTGGGCTCAAGCAGTCCTCCTGCCTTGGCCTCCCAAACTGCTGGGATTACAGGTGTGAACCACTGCACCTCGCCTGCCTACTTTATTTGTAGTTTGAGTATTTACTCAGTTGAAATCCTCTTGCATTATTATTATATTTTGCTTCCTTTTCTTGATGTGAGAAGCTTTTCCCCATGTTCACAAATTCTAAATTTTTTATAAAGTTCAATTTAAAGGCACTATAATATCCTCTAACATAGATATATGCTACTTAGGTTATTTATTGCCTAGTTATCATGCATTTAATGATTTCCACTTTTTTTCAGTTCTAAAGAATGTGGAAATAAATATCTTATCATATAAATATTTCTCCTGGTTTTACAGCATTATTATATATTTATATTTAGGGATGTAGAATTTCTGGGCCAAAGGGAAAATTATATTTATGCTATATGCATTTTCTAAAAATGCGCATTCTGTAAAATTATGCATATAATTTTTAGTTTGGTGGCTAAAACATAGGCTGTGTCATGATGGGGAAGGGATCAAGGATCAACAGTCAGACAGAACACAAGATTATCTGAGGCAGGGGTAAATGAAGTGTGACACTGGCCCTTCTTATAACCTTGAAATCCCCAAACATAGGCAGTTTTGTGCTCTGTCTTGTGAAGGAGACAAGGTTCTCATGACGGAGCTATCTACATACATATTAAGAATATCATCTTTATTCTTTGATTTTCTCCCTACCCTGTCCTAACAACTTGTATCAGGCAGCACCACTGTCCTGCACTCTTATTCTTAGCTCAGACCTCCCTTTCTCCTTCCAAATATGCATGCTGAGCCTCACTATGTTTGTGGACAATCAACAATTACCTTCTCTCCCTTTAGGGTAATTTCTTTGCTTTGAAATTGCAGGAAAACCTTCATTTAATGTTTGCATTTGGTTGAAAAGCCTGAGAAGCCTCAGCAAGGACAAGCAAATGAATGTAAAATAGAGGAGGAGAGATGGAACAGAATAAGAAATAAGATTCAGTAGCATTGTTTTCTTTTTCTTTTTGAAAATCAGAGAAACACAGACACACCACCCATACGTGTGGGTCACAAAATCAGAAATTCAAAGATGATGATTTTGAATATCAATGTAAAAGTTAGTCAGACAAACTCAGACAGAATGCAGATGTTTCTCATTTATATGGGTGACTTCTCTGACTTAGATAAACACATGAAATGCTGAATGCCTCAGTGGCAGCCCTGTGTGTTCAGTTCTCTGTCTATAGATACAATTTAGGATGAGAAAGAAAAAATGAGAGAGACCATTTGTTATCATAATTTGCTAATGTTTCACAAAAGATGACCATTTAGTTTTTAATTAAATCTTATAGGACTTACTACCCTCATTTTTTAGGCAAGGAAATTGAGCCAGGTCAAATTAAGTAAATTGCCCAAAATTCTCACTGTTTTTCCAAGTAATTTTAAAGAGTGACATCCAGAAAATCTGTGACTTCTAGGAATACATTTAGAAAAACATATACCAGAGGGTTTAATTGCAGCATTGTTTTTAACAGCAAAAATTGGAACTAAATACACATCAATTGGATACAGATAAATAAAGTATGAGATATTCATGGACCAGAATCCTGTGCTGTAATTGAAGTGAATGAACTGGCAATGTGTGCACCAGTATCCCCAAATTATAATATTTACTAAAAAAAGCAAAATGCTGAATGATTCATGCTGTATGATAACATTATATAAAGTCTGAGAACATGAAAAGCAACTGCAAACATAGATTATAGCTGCATAAATAAATAATAATAGTATAATAAACATTTGTAGGAATGGAATAGAGAAAAACATTAGGAGATTGATTACATTTGAGTAGGGAGATGGGAATAGAATCAGGGAGAATTTACAAAGGAAATCACAATTCCATTTTAATAACCATGAAGCCAATGGCAAAATCTTACCATTTTATTTAGTCAGGCTGTGGCACTCAGATGTTTATTATATTATTACTTTAAAATAATTTTACTGGATAAATTATTGAAAAGTAAAGGATTGAATGCAAATAGTATTTCTCAAATAGGAAGACAAACACCCTGCCTCCCAATTCCCTTTGTTCCATGTGAAAATCCACATGTGTTTATTCTACTTCAAATCAAATAAATCTGCATCTGTGGAGAATATATGCAGAAAAAATACTCTTGTATACAGGCACACACCACACACAAACAAAACACCACCCTGAGATATGTTGTGTGTTATTGCATAAAACATTTTGAAAACCATAGATCTGAAAGAACAGTCATTGAATTATTTGGAGCCAAACAAAGAATAAATATTACCCTAAGGACCTCTTGGATTATCTATTCAACTTAACTCTTAAAGAGAAAAATGTAAAAAGAGAACAATTAAAAATCTATTGCCACAGTATAATTTTTAGCCTTGCTCTGTCTACATGCTTAATCTCTGTCCTTGTTCCTCTATAAAAAGAGAGGAATGGAGTAATCTATTTCAATGGCATTTGTTTTTAATGAAATTATCAGTAAACCTGAATCATCTATGGCTTCCTAACATTGAAAAGTGATTATATCATTTCATTTGCTGTATCAAGTATTAATTAAAGGTTTAGCACAAACTATGCACTATATTAAAGCTCAATTCAACACTTACTAGAGACCTGCCTTGGTACCTAGATGTGGGACTGTGTGTAGTTCTCTATCTCAGCATGAAAGAAAGAGCAGGGATAAGATCCATATATTATGTGAGACATAATCCCAACAAATCATTGCAATCACTTTGAAGAATAAATATATGTCTCTCTTTTTTTACAGTTGAGGAACCTAAAGCTTAGTTATATTAAATAGCTGTTCACGGGTATGAAACAATAATATGAAAAAGCCAGGATTTGAATTATGTCCTACAAAGTCTAAACTCAGGCCCCTTACGTTGTAGTTAGTGTTGTTAGGAGCAATGATAATTGTTCTTAACCTGATATTGTCAGATTCAGCCTTCTGGTACTTGCTGGAGCCCTAGTTTATCACAATTGATTTGTAGTGCTTCTTGAAAATATTTCTGATTCTTCCATTGTGTGACATTCTAAATTTCCCCTGACTACACCTTCCACCCCTCCTGTTAGAGTACCATGTTGGAATTACCTTCTGTAGCAACCTTAGCTGTGATATCCCCTATCATTTTGAAATGAACACCTTGTCTCAGAAATCTCCACTTATTCCAAGATTCTTAGACTCCGGGCATGCACTGATACTAAAAACAATTTTAGTGATCACCCCAAGATGTTCATTCAAAGTAAATAAAATAGTACTCTTACCCTTGAATGTCTTAGTCTCATAAGAGAGAATAGCATATAATTACCAACATAGGCAGTGCACGATGTGAGGCACAGGATAGGAATTCCTGTCATTTACCAGTTTAGAAACATGCTCATGTAGATAACATGATATTCTTTCCTAGAGGGCCCTGAGTTGTCACTATAAAACATTGTTTAAATGCTGTCAAAATCAACTTTTTTAGGAAAAGTCAAAGACCCCTATGGATCTGAATATATAAGACGATTATGATGTTGAGAAATAATATAGTGGAAAAAAAGCCATAGATCATTCTACTTTCCACTGTGGGTTATTTCTCAGTTCCTTCTTGGTAACTTGGTTTTCCTTTTTTTCCTTTCTGCTAATGTCAGAATCTCAGACTGTCCTGGTAGCTGCCTCTTTCTGTTCTAGTCTTTGCTAACTCCCTAACTACCACCCTGGATATATAGAGTCTTTGTAGTTTTCCAAAAGGAGAAGAAAAGAACATGTAAAGATTTTTTTTTCTTTTTTTTCTTTTTTTTTTTTGCACCACATAAAACATCTAAAACCTCCGAATCTGTCATCCAAATTGTAAACCTGGTGAAATTCTATCTGCTTTTTAACTCTCTTACCAAACAAAGGCATACCTCATTTTATTGTTTTTCACTTTATTGTGTTTCAAAGATATTGCATTATTTTACAAATTGAAGGTTTATGGCAGCCCTGCATCAAGCAAGTCTATTAGCACCAATTTTCCAACAGCCTGTCATCACTTTGTGTCTTTGAGTAAAATTCTTATAATTCTTTTAATATTTCAAACTTTTTCATTATCATTATACATTTATGGTGATCTGTGATCAGTGATTTTTCATGTCAATATTGTAATCGTTTGGTGGGGCATCACAAACTGTGCCCATGTAGGAAAGTGAACTTTGTCAATAATATCGTGTGTGTTCTGACTGCTCCACCAATCAGCAGTTCCTCCATTTCTCTGTCATACCTTAGACCTCCCTAATTCCTGAAACACAACAGTATTGAAATTAGGCCAATTAATGACTCTACAATGGCCTCCACGTGTTCAAAGTGAAAAGAAGAGTCACGTGTCTCATTCTTAATCAAAAGCTAGAAACAATTAAGCTTAGTAAGGAAGGTATTTCAAAAACCCATACAGGACAAAAACTAGACCTTCTGGTCCAATCAGTTGTCCAAGGTGTGAATGCAAAGGAAAAATTCTTGAAGGAAACTGAAAGTGCTACTCCAGTGAACATACAAGTTAAAGAAAGCAAAATAACCTTATTGCTGATGCGGAGAAAGTTTGAGTGGTCCGGATAAAAGATCAAACCAGCCAAAGCATTCCTTAAAACAAAACAATCTAATCCAGAGCAAGGCCCTGGCTCTCTTCAATTCTATAAAGACTAAGAGGTCAGGAAGCTGCAGAAGAAATTTTTGAAGCTAGCAGAGGTTGATTCACGAAGTTTAAAGAAAGAAGCTATAGACACAACATAAAAGTGCAGGGTGAAGCAGCAAATCTTGATATAGAAGCAACAGCAAGTTATCCAGAAGATCTAGCTAAGATTATGTTGATGAAACAGTCTTCTATTGAGAAAAAGATACCAACTAGGACTTTTATAACTAGAGAGGAGAGGTCAATGCCTGTCTTCAAAGGACTGACTGACTCTCTTGTTAGGGTCTAATGCAGCTGGGGATTTTAAGTCAATGCCAGTGTTCATTTACCATGTCAAAAATCCTAAGGCCCCTAGTAATTATACTAATTCCACTCTGCCTGTGCTCTATCAATGGAATAACAAATCCTGGAGGACAGGATATCTGTTTACCACATGGTTTCCTGAATATTTTATGCCTACTGTTGAGAGCTACTGCTAAAAAAAAAATTCTTTCAAAATATTACTGTTAATTGATAATGTACCAAGAGCTCTGATGGAGATACAGAGGGAGATTTATTTTGTTTTTATGTCTGATAACACAGAATCTATTCTGCAATCCATGTATCAGAAACAATTTTGACTTTAAAGTCTCATTATTTAAGAAAGACATTTTGTAAAGCCATAGCTGCCATAGGTAGTAATTTTCTTGATGGATCTAAGCAAAATACAATGAAAACTTTCCGGAAATAGTTTACTATTCTAGATGCCATTAAGAATATTCATTATTCATGGAAGGAGGTCAAAATATCAGCATTAAGAGGACTTTGGAAGAAGGTGATTCCAACCTTCATGCATGACTTTGAGGGGTTTAAGTCTTCAGCTGGAAGAAGTAACTGTAGATGTACTGGAAATAAACAGAATACTAGCATTAGAAATGGAGCCTGAAGATATGACTGAATTGGTGCTATTTCATGGTAAAACTTTAATAGATGAGGTGTTGCTTCTCATGAATGAGCAAAGAAATTGTCTAAGATGGAAACTACTCCTGGTGAAGTTGCTGTGAATATTGCTGAAATGAAAGCAAAGGATTTAGAAGGTTATATAGTGTTAGTTGACAAAGAGTGGCATAGTCTGAGAGGAATGACACCAATTTTGGAAGATGTTCTACTGTGAGTAAAATGCTATCAAACAGCATCACATGCTACAGGGAAAATTTTTGTGACAAGAAAGAATCAACTGATGTGGCAAACTTTATTGTTGTCTTATTTTAAGAAATTGCCACAACCATCTCCAGCTTTAGCAATGACCATCCTGATCAGACAGTGGCCATCCACAGTGAGGCAAGACCCTCTACCAGCAAAATGAATGCAACATGCTAAAGGCTCAGGTGATTGTTAGAACTTTTGTAGAAATAAAGTATTTTTTAACTAAGGTGTGTACACTTTTTTACACAAACTGCTATTGCACACTTAGTAGACTATATGTAGATTTAATAGACTTATGATATTTATAAACACCAAAAAAGAAAAAAATCTGTGTGACTTGCTTTACTACAATATATGCTTTATTGTGGTGATCTGGAACTGAGCCTGCAATACCTCTGAGGTATGTCTATGTTGACTATCTGTGATGCCTTTTGTCATCACTATTAACCATGACTATTACACTTTGCTATAATAATTGTGTTATTAAACAAAAATTGTTTCAATGCCTGCCTTCCCTTTGTACTATAAGCATTTTGAAAACTGAGGTTATAACTTATTTATCGTAATAATTCCAGGACAAACAGAATACACAAAGTAGGTGGGAATTGAACAATGAGAACACATGGACACAGGAAGGGGAACATCACACACCGAGGCCTGTTATGGGGTGGGGGGAGGGGTGAGGGATAGCATAGGAGATATACCTAATGTTAAAGGACGAGTTGATGGGTGCAGCACACCAACATGGCACATGTATACATATGTAACTAACCTGCACATTGTGCACATGTACCCTAAAACTTAAAGTATAATAAAAAAAAAAGTAGATGCTAAGTTTATATTTGTTGCAGACGAGTGTCAAAGCAAACACTAAGTTTTCCACTTTTAAAATCCCTTAAAGAAAATACCACATTTAACTTACGCTCTATAGATAGTTAGTGCCTATAACCTCAAGGAGACAATTTTCAAACAATAAAATTATCATATACAGATAAGTTAAAATGGTTTTGCAATCTAACAAGGGTTTTGTAAATCTATACCCTAAAGTAAAATGAAAACTTTCTCTAGCTTCTGACTTCTGAATTTAGTTATTAGGATGAGTCTCATGATTCTTCCAGATCAATGTTTGAAATGGATCTCATTATTCTCCCACTGACTCTACTACTCCTTCTGTAATTCTAACCAAGTCCATTTTCAGTTCTTGGCTGGCTGAGGTAAAGAATGGAGAATAATTGGTGACCACTTATTTTAAATGGACAGTTTGCATCTGGGGACATTTTGTGATGACAGTCCTTTTACTAGGACTCAGTACCTCACAGCACAAGCACATGTAAAAATAATCACATCAATTCATAATAACAACTAAATGGATGTCTTAACACTTTTTCAAATTATTCAGTAAGACAAAGACATGAGAAATCACAATACACATAATATCACAATCTTAATAAACCTCTCTCATTGTGCCAATCATTGTGTCAAGCACTGCATACATCATCTCTGATGCTTACAAAGCCTTTTGCTATGGACATTATTACCCTTGTTTTACAAATTTTAAAAAACCTAGGGTTCAGCATCAGCTGGAGTGATATCCTAAGTCTGAATGACAAGATGTGGCAGAACAATGAAAGCCATTTTGTTTTATTGCAGAAGGGAGGTTCAGTATTTTTTTAAATTTATTTTTTTCCTTTTAGGTCAATGCACAGAAAGAAATCTCTCTCCTGACTTTAGTACAATGGCACGATTGGTGGCCACAGTCCAAGGATGGTTGCTGGTGAGTAGTTACAGATACCCCGAGACACAGCAGGAGTGAGTAATTGGGTTTATGATGGGCAGCGACTCTGGTGTTCACTGCAAGCTAGCACTGGTGTTTTCTGGATGACCTTTGTTAGCTGTGCGAAGAGGTTTCCTTTTTTAATGCTGCTGCTAGATGTCATTAGTAGCAATGGCTGTGAATTTTGTCTTGTCACTTGCACTAACCCCAGAAGAGAATTTTCTAAGGGACCTATATCAGAGAAGGTCACTAGCTCTTTCTGTCATCAAACTACTGGCTTGTGATTAGAAAAGGCAGGTGGGACGTCAATGGAATGGTAAACTGTAGATTTGGGAGAACACAGGAGAGTAAATTAGAATTAGGCTTCAAGACCAGGAAATCAAGACTACTATTGATCAGAAGGACAAATAAGTGGGGGCCAGGAGTAGGGAAGAGGGAGTGTTATTTTGTTCTCCTTTTCCATCAGAAAGACAAATTAAATTTTACAGTGTTGCACCAAATACATTTAGGTATTGATTTTGAAATCTATGCTTGACATTTAAGATAACAGAAAAGATACAAGAAAAGGGATGGGGATGTCGCCCAGGCATATGGTAAGATGATGGTCTTTTATCAATAGTGATTTTAAAGATCTTCATAAAAGTGGGGCACAATGTGGATATTAAAACAATTTCTGCTTTTGGTCTTATGTGCATTATCTCAAATATTCTTCTCAAAAATCACATTGGATCTCACAAGGCGTTAGTTCTTCATTGAGGCTGTGAGATTGTGGCTCACTGAAAGGGAAAAATTTCGGCCCTAGAATTGAGGCTGTCAGAGCTCCCTCTACTGCCTCTCCTTAATTCTAAAACCACATAGCTGTGTTCTGGTGAAAGCTAACAAACTGATCCAGAGGTGAAGTGATTATGGGATTTTCCTGATGCCATTAAAGTAAGAAAATATGTGGAAAGAAGTGCTTCCATGAAAAGTGTCTTTTCATGGAGCACATATTAAACTGATTAGAGAAGGGGAGGGTGGAAGAAGTGCTAATGCCTCATAGGCTTAAGGATTTTCATTGTTAAAATTGTGCTTCATGTTTAAAAAGAAGTCACTACTAAATATATGTGCCTTTAAAAATCTTACCAATTTAAGCAACTGTATTGCTGGCATTTTAATCTCTTTGAAGGACTTCTAAAGATGACAGACTTTCATATGTTTCTAACATTTGAGAAACTCATGAACAAAATTTCCAAAATGCTACCCTTTTATAGCACACTAGAGGATACATACATCTGTCATTCATTTTTATCTATTTGATGATGGGGCTATGTTCTGAGAAATGCATCGTTAGACAATTTCATTATTGTGTGACTGTCACAAGGTGTACTTACACAACCTAGGTCACTTAGGCTATGTGGTATAGCCTATTGTTCCTAGGCTATAAATCTATAACATACATGTTACTGTATTGAATATGGTAGACAATTGTAACACAATGGTAAGTATTTATGTGTCTAAACATATCTAAAAATAGAAAAGATACAGCAAAATTATGGTGGTATAATCTTATGGGACCGCCATCATGTATGTGGTTTCTTGTTAACCAATACATCCTTATGGGCCTGGCGCGGTGGCTCATGGCTGTAATCCCAACACTTTGGGAGGCTGAAGCGGGCAGATCACTTGAGGTCAGGAGTTCGAGACCAGTCTGGCCAATATGATGAAACCCTGTCTCTACTAAAAATACACAAATTAGCCAGGAGTGGCAGGAGGCACCTGTAATCCCAGCTATTCGGGAGGCTGGGGCAGGAGAATCACTTGAACCCAGGAGGTGGAGGTTGCAGTGAGCCGAGATCACGCCATTGCACTCCAGCCTGGGAATCACAGAGAGACTCCTCAAAAAACAAAAAAACAAAACAAACAAAATCCTTATGTAGCACTTAATTATATAGCGTTATGGTGAGCCCTACTATATGACAAGCTTCTTAAGACTGGATTCAAATATTATCTCTCTGGTAAGTTTGTCTTCATAGCTTCCTTGTCTTTCCAGCAAAATTTATTTTCAAACAATGTTCCCACTGCCCACATTTTAAAACCTTAAATAGTATGTAACTAAATTTATTCCACTTCCACTGACTGCAGTCTTTTAAAGGGTGTTTCGGAAAGTAAGACCAGTGTTCATAGGATCCAAGCCAGGAAACCCTGTATAGGAAGGACCTGGACATGATCAGGAACTGTTCAGTTTGCCTGAAGCACCAAAAGAGAGGCGATGAGGAATGAGATGCTACTGAAGAAGTGTACAGGCCATGATTGGTACTGGGCCACAAAGTCTATGCTAATCTTTGATTAAAAAGCAGTGTAAAGCAAAGGAAAGGTTTTAAGTATAGACATGCTGAAATGGGAAATGATGGGACTGGTGTTTTTAAGATTCGTTAGCCATGGTCACAAGAAGGGGGTGCAGAAAAAAGTAGTTGAAAGCTCTAAATAATGTTTCTTGGCCAGGCAGAGTGCCTTACTCTCCTAATCTCAGGGATTTGGGAGGCTGAGGTGAGAAGATCGGTTGAGCCTACAAGTTGAAAAACAGCTCGAAAAACATGGCAATACCCGTCTCTACAAGAAAATTAAAAATTAAAAAAAACTAGGCAGGAATGGTGGTGTGTGCCTGTAGTCCCAGTGACTTCAGAGGCTGAGGAGGGAGGATTGCTTGAAACTAGGAGTTCTAGACTGCCGTGAGCTAGGATTCTGCCACTGCACTCTAGCGTAGGTGATAGAGCAAGACCTGCCCCCAAAATAAATACATACATAAATTAATTAAATAAAATAAATAATATTTCCTATCTTCAAGACACTTTCAGTATGATATGTTGGAGGTGACCTGTAATGCATGTTAAATAAAGGATTTTATTTATTTTATTTATTTATTTTTTGAGATGGAGTCTTGCCCTATCGCCAGGCTAGAGTGCAGTGGCGCAATCTCGGCTCACCGCAACCTCCGCCTCCCGGGTTCAAGCAATTCCCCAGCCTCAGCCTCCCGAGTAGCTGGGACTACAGGCACGTGCCACCACACCTGGCTAGTTTTTTTGTATTTTAGTAGAGACTGGGTTTCACCATGTTGGCCAGGATGGTCTCAATTTCCTGACCTCGTGATCCACCTGGCTTGAACTCTCATTTACTGGCACCCTGCCCAGTAAATAAAGTATTATGTAATGTAAATTTTAATTACGCTTTTAACTTTGAAGTAGTTGTAGATTGGTGTGCTGTTTTAAGAAATAATACAGAAAGATCTCACATATGGTTCACACAGTTTCCCCCAATAAAAATCTCTTATAAAACTAATACAATAATATCACAACCAATATATGCTATTTGTACACTCAACATACTGAGCATTTCCATCACTGCAAAGATCCCCTATATTTCCTTTTTAAAACGAAACTCCTTCCCTCCTGCCCAATATCCTCTTTAAGCCCTAATTAGGTCTCTTCTTCATCTCTGTAAATTTGTCATTGCCATAATGTTACATGAACGAGATAATACAGTATATAGCCTTTTGGAATTAACTCTTCTTCACTGAGCATAATACTCTGGAGATCCATCTAGATTATTGCATATATCAATAGTATGATCTTTTAAAAATTGCTGACTAGCATTTAATGGTATGGATGTATAATAGTTAATGTCAGCTTTCATCCATTGAAAGATATCTGGGCTGTTTCCAATTTGTGACTGTTACGAATAAAGCTGCAATAAACATCCATGAAAAAGTTTCACGCTAACACAAGCTTTCCTTTATTTGGGGTAAAGGGTGAAGAGTACAATTGTTTGGTCTTGTGGTAGTTGCATTTTAAATTATTTAAAAAACATATTTTCCAGTGTTTCCATGTCATTTTAAGTTCCCATATGGAAAATATGAATGAATCAGTTTCTCAGTACCCTCATCAGCATTTGTTGTTTGTCTATCTGTCTATCTATCTATCAATCATCTATTTATCATCTATCTTCTATCATCTATCTATCTTCTATCATCTATCTATCATCTACTATCATCTATCTATCTTCTATCTATCTATCTATCTATCTTTCTATCTATCTTATCACCATTTTAATAGATGTTTGATGATGGCTCATGTGATTTTCATCTGCATTTCCCTAACGGGTAATAATATTGAACTTTTTTTTAATGCGATTATTCATCTTTGGTGAAATGCGCTTTATATCCTTTGACTATTTTCTAACTGGATTTTTTAAAATGTTGAGTTTTGAGAGGTCTTTAGATAGCCTAGAGACTAGTTCTTTAATGGAGGTATAGTTTATACATTTTTCTTCCAGTCTGTAGCTTTTCTTTTCATCCTATTGCCAGAGTCCTCACAGAGTAAAGTGTACTGATTTTGTTGAAGTAGAGTTTATCAATTTTTCATGGTACGGATTGTGATTTTGGTATCTAGTCAACGAACCCCAACCTTACCTCTTCCATAGCCCTTGATCCCAAAGATTTTCTTCTGTTTTTTTTTTTTAATAATTTGTATTTTTTTTAAATTAACTCTAGAATCTATTTTTATTTAATTTTTATATAAGATGTAAAACTTAGATTGAGGTTCATTATTGCCTGTGGAGTTTCAATTGCTCCTGCACCATTGATTTAAAAGTTATCTCTACTGCATTTAATTGTTTTTTACATTTTTGTCAAAAATCATATGTACATATTCATGTGGTGTTAGTTCTTGGCCCTCTATTCTGTTCCCTTCAACTACATGTCTTTTCCTCCAATAATACTACAGAGTCTTGATTACTGTAGCGATTTAATAAGTGTTGAAATGAGGTAGACTTTTTCTTTCTCATTTTACTCTTATTTTTCAAAATTGTTTTAGCTATTCTTGATTAGTTTCCTTTTCCTATATATTTTAGAATAATCTTGCCTATATTTCTAAAAGTTCTTGTTGAGATTTTGATAGCAAATGAATAAAACTTTTATATCAATTTGTGGATAATTGATATACTACAAAGTTGAATCTTCCAGTCTATGAACCTGAATTTCTTCATTTATTTACATCTTTAATTTCTTTGATCAGCATCTTGTAGTTTTCAGCATATTACTCCTGCATGAGTTTTTCAGATTTATATGTAAGTATTTTATTTTATTATTTATTCAATTTTGGTATCCACATATTTATTGCTAAATAATAGGAATAGATTTGATTTATGTAAGTTTATCTTATGTCATGCAACCTTATTGAAATCATTATTGAATACATTTTCTTGGTAGGTTTCCTGGAATTCCCTATATAGACACTAATGTTATCTGCATATTGAGGCATTTTATTTGTAATTTGCATGCCTTTTATTTTTTTTTGCCAGCCTTATTGCACTGTGTTGTAAAAGAGTGATGAACACAGATAATCTTTCATTGTTCTCAACCTTAGTAGGAATGCATTCAGTCTTCTATCATTAAGTAAATGTAAGCTGTAAGTTCCATAAATGCTCTTTATCAAGTTCAAATGTCTTCTTAATCATTGGCTTAGTCATTTTATGATGTCACTTTAAAATCTTTGGAAGATAATTCTAATACCTCTGTCATCTCAGTGCTGACATCTTTTGGTTGTGTTTTCTGTTCAATTCGTGATGTCTCTGGCTTTTTGTATTAGATGTAACATCATGGGATGTGCCTGTGGCCTTATTACTACTTGGCGTTGGTGAAAGTCCTTTACTAGGCTTCCTCTGACACCACCCCAACTGGGAGGTTGCCGAGACCAGCTCGGTCAGGGAGACCCTAACCTAGCGGCGCTAGAGGAATTAAAGACACACACAGAGAAATATAGAGGTGTTAAGTGGGAAACCAGGGGTCTCACAGCCTTCAGAGCTGAGAGCCCCAAACAGAGATTAACTCACGTATTTATTAACAGCAAGCCAATCATTAGCATTGTTTCTATAGATATTAGATTAACTAAAAGTATCCCTTATGGGAAACGAAGGGATGGGCTGAAATAAACGAATGGGTTGGGCTAGTTATCTGCAGTAGGAGCATGTCCTTAAGGCACAGATTGCTCATGCTGTTGTTTGTGGTTTAAGAACGCCTTTAAGCAGTTTTTCTCCCTGGGTGGGCCAGGTGTTCCTTGCCCGCATTCCGTAAACCCACAACCTTCCAGCGTGGATGTTATGGCTATCATGAACATGTCACAGTGCTGCAGAGATTTTGTTTATGGCCAGTTTTGGGGCCAGTTTAAGGCCAGATTTTGGGGGGTCTATTCCCAACAGGAGGTGAGGGGTGCCTTGTTACTGCTGGCATGGGGGTGCGGGGCTGGAAGTCTAGGCTGACCATATGTCTCTTCTGATACCATGTGAGAAGTGGAGATGAAAGCTACCATGTGATAGCGATGAAAGTTCTGGCTCACTTTTCTGATGCTACTCTGGTGCAGGTGTTGGGAAACGTCATTCCAGCGTGGTAAATGAGGTGGAAGTCTAGATTTATCACTCCAACTCTGCTAGTGTTAATGAGAGTGGGGCCACAGTTTTGTTGTGGTGTTTGACTAAAGTAGATTATTTTCTAAAATGTTTCTTTCTTGCTAGAAGTTCCTTTTCTGGCCTTTCAGCTAAAGATAGCAGACTTTAATTGGGGATTTTTGTCTGTAGCCGTTGGCATTTCTGGGATGGTGGCTTCTTTAGCTCTGGGTCTGGGATAAATAAGGTGAAAAGGAAACCCAAGGAATTCACTACTGTGGCATTCCTTAGGCCCAGGGTTCCCCAGCACTCTTCTCTTCTTCTCTCCTTCACAATGTTTTTATATGTGTCTTATATATAATGCCCTAGGTTTTTAGTTGTACTTAGCAGAAGAAATAGAACAAAGTATATCTATTCATCTGTTCTGTGTTTCGAGAAAGGAAATTCTCAAGAACACACATTTTCATAAAGTCTAGACTCCTTTAGCAGCTCTTGTGAGATAAAGCAAGAAAGATATCAGTGTTAGAATACATAAAGTGAAGAAAAAGAGGGTGTTTGAAGGATTTCAAACACAGCAAACATTTTGAGGACCAAATATTAGTTTATAAATATGTGATACTGATTGCAAACCAAGAGTAGCTTTACTTGATAACGTTAACCATAGCTTTGTAAACTTCATAATGTGAGCCTTGGCTTTGTTTGCTTGTTTATTTATCCTTAATCACTTCAGTTCTGATACTTCATATATTTCTAATTATTACATATTGATTATTTTGAAAACACCTACAGTTAGAACAAAAGGCATTATAGGACTGTAGTATTTTCAGGATTGATGTTACAGAAAACAAGGAGAAAGAAAATAGGGAACAATAAAATAATAATTTCACCCTTTTAGAGAGAAACATGTTGTTGATATGCTGAATTACAACACATTCTATGTATGTACTGCAATACACAATGGCAGAAATGCAACTGTAGTTGTTATTAAACATCAAATATTTTACTGTGATGCAATCACATTATGTTATAGAGGAGTGAATGGCATTTTCAGTTTTTCTTGGGCACTCGGTGCAAATCCAGTTATATTAAAAGCCAGAGTTGGAAAATCAATGTGGCACTTTGCTGGTTGATTCCAACGTCAGTGAGAATTGTTAAGACAACAGTCAAGGATCTAACAGTTGTACTTAATGAGATCCAATGAGACTCAATTTGATCTGTGGAACGCTTTTGGTCCATGCTGACACTCTAAGGTCCATATCAACAAGTGAAAAAGAAAAACAATTAAACAATTCAGAATAGTAGAAAAAGTCTGCTTTGTACCATAGGTAAACTTGTTTAGGTAATGTAGAAGAACATGTTGTCTAAAATATGCAGAATGATATTTCATTACCACATGCTCTTGTGGTATCTGGCCAGAATGGAGATTTATTTCTCCTCTCTTTTGTTACTGCCTTAATCACAGAATGGAGATTTATTTCTCCTCTCTTCTGTTACTGCCTTAATCAATATATTGTAACAGAAACGACTTTGTATAGGATTCATAGCTATGTTATTAAAACAGCATACCTTTGGGAGGCCGAGGCGGGCGGATCATGAGGTCAGGAGATTGAGACCATCCTAACACGGTGAAACCCCGTCTCTACTAAAAATACAAAAAAGTTAGCTGGGCGTGGTGGTGGGCAACTGTAGTCCCAGCTACTCAGGAGGCTGAGGCAGGAGAATGACGTGAACAAGGGAGGTGGAGCTTGTGGAGTGTGAATGCAATTAGGAGTCAAAGTACACCTGTGACATGGGAAAATTATTTGATCTGCTGAACACTGGTATTCTGCTAAAAAAAGAATATCTATTGTTATGGTTGTTATACAAATTAAATAACACGATTGCCATAAATTGCTTATTAGAGGGCTGTGGATATTCTGAACATGAAATAAAGCTTGATATCCTTTCTTCTTTGTATATTTAAACATAACTGTGATGTTTGAAGTACAGTAGTCTGCCCTTATCCATGGCTTTGCTTTCTGTAGTTTTTTACCTGTGGTCAACCATGATCTGAAAATACTAAATGAAATATTCCAGAAATAAGCCATTCCTGAGGTTTAAATTGCCCGTTCTTCTAAGTAGCCTGATGAAATCTTGCGCCATCCCGCTCCTTCCTGCCTGGGATACAAATCATCTCTTTGCCCACTGTATCCACGCTGTAGAGGCCCCCAGAACATTAGACTTAGGAGGCTTCTTGGTTATCAGATCAGCTGTTGCACCATCACAGTGCTTGGGTTCAAGTACTCTCCACTATTTCAGCAATCCCCTAGGGGTCTTTGAATGGTTCCCCTGTGGGAAAGGGCAAATCATGTAATTTAGATAGTCTGATAATAGAGAATGTGAACTTCATTGAAAATAGGTAGATAGGTTATGTTAAGAAACTTTGAATTCAGGCTTCAGGGAGCAAAACAGTGCTCTTTTACTTGTTTTAATGCTGCTGATAGAGAAAAAAAGACAATAAAGAGAACCCTTTAAGACAATCCTTTAAGGTAAATGTTATGGCAAATCAGAAAGGGTAGAGAGAAAAAAAATGAAATTTTTGGGAGAAGAAAGGATGACAGTAAAAAGTCGAAATGGATTCATCTAAGTCTAAATTTGGAGGACATACTTAGGTCTCAGAATTGATGCCTGGAGAAAACAATGCACTGAAAATCACATTAAACAACAACAAGAGAAAGAGAAAGGACAAATTAGCTAATTCTAGGGTCTCGGGGTTAAAAGGTTCTGATAGGTTTATCTGAAATCTGGCACTTGAACGTCTATGAATACATAGATTCCCATGTATTTAAGTGGTATCCCAAACCACTGAGACATCTTTTTCCATTTCTGGTTGTTTTAAGTGTTTGCTTTCCATTATATCAGTATGTTTTCCTGAATACATAGGGCATTTACTCTGTTTTAGAGTCACAAAGATAGCATGTTATTCTTTCCCATGAAACACTGTGATGGTTTAAGAAAATCGCGATCTTCATTAAGGGTTTTCTTTTTCTTAGGAAAATCAAAATGAAAAAGTACTTTCAATGACTGCGTGCAGGGCTTGCTTCGAAATCTTCTCACATCCTGATATCCTTCCTTCGGACATGCTCTGTTTGCACTAAGATAATTGAGTAACACGGAATATATATGTGATTTACAAAGTATAAACAACAGAAATTATGACTGTGACTTTACAAATGTATTCAATATAGATTGTATTTGTTATTTATAGAGTGTATAGGTCTGATTTTGTGACTTCAGAAATACAAATTGTGATGACTGTCAGGGTATAATCTTGGCATTCTATTAAATGACTATTACTTGAATTTAGAAATGAATTTCAGTGTACTAAAGAAAAGTTGGGGGAAGGGTTTTATATTATAACATGTCTTGAAAAAACACTTCTCCCTCATTTGCTAATTGATAAAAACATTTTTAAAAACAGTGATCACAAGTTCACATGTTGGAGATATTGCTTTGATTATGGTTTCTTTAAAACTCTCGTGATTATTTTGTATTAACAGTGAGTAAGAAACTCAATTGGTCACGGACAATCGATTATTATTTGAGAGATGATTATTTGATAAGCATTACTGCTACATTCTAGAATTTCACAGTCCCTGAGAAACTGATTGATGTAAATGATGACTGCAGTTGTGGCTAAGAAAGAATTCTAATATAAAAAGATATTTCATGTGATATTGACCCATTTCCCCCTTTCAATGTAGAGTTTTTTCAGGAATAGAGGTTTCCCTATATAACATGTCAGAAAAGACAAACATCCCAAGCTAAATTATTGTAAAATATAATAAAGATATTATTATGATGTTGCAAAAAAGTAATTATCTAAGGCCTTTGACTAAAGAATGGGAAAGCTGAAATTTGTGAGACACATCTGGTATAAAGCCCATTTCCTGCTATACTATTTTATTTTTAAAACACTTTTGTTTCATTATTGTAGCAGAACCAACAATAGAAATGCATTTGAGTTGTTTTGTTTTTCAATGTAAAAGGAAGAAAATTATGCTTTTTTTTTTTTTTTGGCTATCCGAATGCCAGATTTCAGATAAACTAAAAGTGAAAAATACGTACTAAAACAAAAAGAAATGCAAAAGGCTAAGAGTTTATTAAATAATGCTTAGTAAGTTCCAGGGTGTTTTAGTCTCATGGTTGAAAGCGCCCATTTTTATAGATTAGCAACAGAAGCTGAGGATCAGAACTAAATATATATTTTAAATGCTATGGATTTACTTTATTCCCATGACTGAAAGGATATGCAGTAACTATGGAAAAGAAAAATAAATGCATTGATTCCAGATATTCCTGACTTATACATCTTCACTTAATAGCTTCACTTATTAGAATTCTTCACTTATTAGCTTATATGAGAGCCTGAATTATCTTTTTTTTTTTTTTTTTTTTTTGAGATGGAGTTTCTCTTTTTTGGGCAGGCTGGAGTGCAATGCCATGATCTTGGCTCACTGCAACTTCCTCCCCCCAGGTTGAAGTGATTCTCCTGCCTCAGCCTCCTGAGTACCTGGGATTACAGGTATGCACCATCATGCCCAGCTAATTTTGTATTTTAATAGAGACAGGGTTTCACTATGTTGGCCAGGCTTGTCTCGAACTCCTGACCTCAAGTGATCTGCCCGCCTCTGCCTCCCAAAAGTGATGGGATTACAGGCATGAGCCACCACGCCCAGCCGGGAATTCTCATTTTTTATGAGTATTACAGGTGAAATATCCAGACACCTAACAGGGCAGAAGACTCATTTTTATCAAAGAAATAAAAATAAATTTTTGTTTTTTTGGAAATACTGTGTAAAGATTCATTGTAAAATTTTCCTCAGCATGTTAACAGAGAAGGTGTTCACTCTCCTCTGTGCATTTTTTTTCCAGTTTGAATTGACAAGGAGCCAAGTTTCTCTTGAAGGCACAGAGTAATCTATATTGAAAGATTCTTATTGGTTGAAAAAGGTGCGGAGGGCAGAGTTATCTCGCTTTCATGGTGATCCAATCTACTTTGTTGGCACACTTAGATTCTGATCTACAGATGCTGTTTAGAACTGAAACCAAGCATACTCTTTACATGCTATTTTCAAAATTAGAAAAAAAGAACCTGAGTTAATATTTCTATAGTGTTGAGCCTATTTATGTGGGAGCAGTCAACTTCACTAGCATTTAATGCTGGTCAATATATTAGAATTCCTTAGCCTTGTTCACTTATTATTTTTTCTTTTCTTTTTTTTCCTTTTATTTTACAAAAAGCATTCTGTGAACATCTGATAAGTGCTAGGTTTTGTGTACCTATACATAAATCAGGAACAATACAAAAGTGTAACTATTTTGAGACAACTCCCAGCATGGTTGTAGGATAACCTTCATGAATCTGGTCCTCTGTAAAACTGTAACTGTTGACAATTATTAAAAATAAACACATAAAGTGTATGAAATCTATCTTGGGGGCTTGCAGCAAATGAAGGAACATTCCTTCAACAGAACCTACTAAATTCCAATGAGAAGAGTGAGGGTTAGTGGAACATGACCCATGACTCACTGCTTCACTCTTCTTTACCCCAGATTAACATTATAGAAACTCCAGGTTATGTGGGCAAAAAAAATGAGGCTTCCTCCTTCTTAGATCTCAAGTAGGCACTATAGCATCTCATCAGGAGGAATAGGCCACCAGAATTTTTTATTCCCACCCCTCAGTTTCATATTGCAGAGAATAAGCTTCAGATGAATGAACCCAAGAGATCAAGGGCTCTGTTCTTACATCTATCCCACACTCATATAATGGAGGTCCTATCCAACAAATAGCAGATCATCATTTCTGTACTATAATGTAAAATTATGTTAGTTTCTATAAAAAAGTATACTAGAATCTCAAAAGTGTATCTGAATTGAAAGAATAAATAATCAGAAATGCAGAGACATATTGATACAGATTATGGAATCCAAAAGACAATGAGGGGAAAAAACTAAAGAAGAATAATCAGAGCTTTAGAGAAATTTAGGACACCATTAATTAAGTGTGTCAGTGTATGTACAATGAGAGTACCAGAAGAGAAAGAAAAGAGCAGAAAAATACTCAAAGATACAATGGCTGAAAATGTTTCAAATTTTGGGAAAAACCTGAATCTACAAATCTAAAAACCCCATTGAACTCTAAGTAAGATAAACACAAAGAAATTTACATCTAAAAACATCACAGTAAAAATAATAAAAAACAAAAACTATGAAAAATATCTTGAAATTAGAAAAAGAAAACAATTCATATGTACAAAAGGACTCCAATAAAATCAAGAACCAACTTCTCATTAGGCAAAATAAAGGGTAAAAAACAGTTATATGACATACTCAAAATGCTACAAGAGAAGAAAAACATCAGCCAAAACCCAGCAAAACTATATTTTGAAATTAAGATGAAATAAGAGCAATTCATTGTAAATAAAAACTGAGGCAATGTGTTGCCAGCAGACTTGTAAAACATATTAAAGAAAACTTTTCAGGATGAAAGCAAATAAAAAAGACAGTAATTTAAATTCATTAGGAAATGAACCAAACAACACTGGCGTACCAGTAAAGGTACTGTACATAATATTTACCTGCCTTTATTTTCTTAACTGATTTAAAAATCTCTTGTCGGGAAAAATAATTATAAAATATTATATGGTGTATATATTACATAGAGATATATTTTACAATAATAGCATAAAGAAGATGGGTGGAAGCAAAGATGTGTAATTGTAAGCATGTGGCATCAGGTGGTAAATATAATAAATAAGAATAATAAAATAAAAAAGAATAGATGAAGAGAAACAGAAATGGTAAATAAAAGCATAATTTAATAAACTCTAAAAGCACATAAACTATGTCAATAATTACCTGAAATAAAAATTGAATAAATTGTTCAATCCAAAAAAAAATTGTCAGCCTTGATAAAAAAATAAAATTCTGCTCATGTTGTCTACTGGAGAAACCCATTAGATTTAAAAACACAAAAACGAAAAAGTTACCATATGACACAGCAATTTCATTCCTATCTATATAAGCTAAAGAATTAAAAATATATGTCAACATCACAACTTATACATAAATATTTATAACAGCATCATTTATAATAACCAAACAGAAATAATTTAAGTGGTAATCTATTGATGAATGGATGAATAAAATGTGACATATCCCAATGATGGAATATTATTAGTCAGCAACAAAAGAATTGAGATAGTAGTATATGCTACAAAATGGATGTGCCTGGAAAACCCTATGCTAAGTGAAAGAGGCCAAGCACAAAAGACCGCATATTGCACCTTTTATATAAAATGTCCACACCAGTCTCTGGAGATGGAAAGGATAATAATGGTTCCTGATGGCTGGAAATATAGGGAATTATGCAGTGGGACTGCTCAAGTGTACAGGTTTTTTTTTTTTAAGAGTAATAAAAATATTCTAAAATTGGATGTAATAATGTCTGCTCAACTGTGATAATATACTAAAAAAATACCCCACTGAATTGTATCCCTTAAATGGTTGAATTTTATGATATATAAATTTGATTTAATTAGGTCAGGATATCTCTATTGATCTATAATTACTATTCATTATTTACTATTCATTTAAATAAATTTATTTAGATAATAGTATCTATTACTATTATAAATACAATGTTTATATATTTATTATATTTATAATATGGCTACATTGATTTAAAGTGTGGTAAAATATATGTTATAATTTATGAATACATTATTTCCACATATAATTTATATATTATATATTTAATTTTATATATTATACTATAAATAAATTATGTATATAATTTATGTATACATAATTTTAATATCTGTCATTATTTATCTTTATTATAAAAGATACCTGTCTTTATGGAGCTCTAAATCTAATAGTGGTATAAGGAAAATAACAAGGCTACAAAAAAAATCTGTCTGCAAGTATTTTCTTTCCAACCTCTCCATTGGTTTTTCATTTTATTTTGCGTTGCGTTTCATGTTGCTTTATAGCAGGCATGTCTGTGGATTCTGTCTTTGCTCTCTTGTTTTACCTCATTGAAATATTTATAATGTAGAGCTTTAACAGTGTTGAACATTTCTACTGTCAATTTGCATTTTCTTCCGTGGACTTGAGCTCCAATGGCATTCGAAGAGACTTGAATCTGCTCTACTAATTACTGTCTAAAGATGATTGAGAGACTTAAAGCCAGACATAGTACATTAAAGAAAAGCCAGACTTTCTTTAAACCCATTTGCATGCTCGCTTTCTCTCTCTCTCTGTCTTTCTTTCTGTCATCTCTCAGATCCCTTTAGGCATCTGCTTATTTCAAACATTGGATTTAAAGTGCTAATGTGTCTTGATTTCTTTCTCAATCAGTCAATTCTTGGTCCATTAAGCAAAGACTAAAATAAAAATGAGAAAACTTAATGGACACCTGAAAAAACTTAGGAATAACCCTCACTATTCACCAGTAGCTGGGTAAAGATAATTACATAATATTAATCAGAAAATTATGTATACCTTTTCACTTGAAAAGCCCTCGATTTTTTAGTAAAAAGCAAATATCTATGTTTATTAATTAAGCTAGTGTTACTAGTAGCTGTGTTTTTTTGTAGAATTTATTATATACTAGTCTCTGTTTTACTTGCTTTGGATTAACTCATTTTAAAGCTAGTTTTTCTGATAAGGCAACAGGGATTGATTTATGAAAGTGGAGAGAATAGAATCTTTTTTTAGTGATTTTAAAAGAAGCAGTCAAATATGTTGGTACTTGTCTTAGTGAGAGATGGAATCCTTCTCACCTCCTTCCCCTTGAAACCATGTGGGCTCAGGCTGTTTCAACCAAGAGCCTGTAATACAAGCAATTGTACATTAGGTCAGGATCAGAACCCAGCTTTCATTTTTCTCTCAGGTAGTGTCTGTCCTCAGTGATCATAACTGTTATGTAAGCTGTCTGACTGTTCTGAGCTCACCATGTTGCAAGGAAGCTCAAATTATTCCACATGCAAAAAAACAAAAAACAAACAAAAAAAAGCACATTGGTTCTAAGACTACATTAAGAGAAAAAGATGCCCAGCTCTCTCAGACCTGCTCTTCTAGCTCCAACCACCATCTGACTGTAATTACATGTAAGATATAAAGTCAGAACCACCAATCAAAGCCTATCTTGAATTATTCTACCACAGTATTTGTGGGATAGAATAGTTTTTGTTCATTTTAGCCAATAAATTTTGAGATAATTTGTTATTTATCTATTGCTACTCTGAATACTAAGTTCTGTACTTTCTAGTACACCCACTTTATTTACAAAACCTTAAATCTTGATAAAGCCTTTAAATAATACTTACAATTTGCTACTTTACTTGAGATTATTCCAAACAATTTCCAAGATATTTAGAGTCGATTTTAAATATCAGAGTACAGCAGTTCAGAGTCTTGAAGGATGCCAAGTTCCAAAATGCTTACAACTTAGTAACAACTGGGGCTCAGGAGATAGACAAGTCAAGGACTACAAATGTGGGCATACCAGAATACAGGGTCTTTTTAAGATTTCACTAGTTGCAGTTTGTATCATTTATTAACAATGCTATGTTCTTGCCTTAAAATGCATGATCCTATGTAATTTCATTTTAAAAAGAAACCTTACAGACAGTAGTACCTGTCACTCAGGCAAGATATAATAAGCATAATTGCCCCTACATTTGAAAGGTAAGAGACTTGGTGCTGAAAGAAGTTCTTCATTTTACTCATGATACAGGTCAACCCAGTGGCAAAGGCACAATTCAAGTTCACATCTACAGTTATCGTTATGACACAAGTGCTTCTAGATGGGGGAGTAAATAATAAAGTCTCTGTTTCTCTCTTTCTCTCTCCCTCTGTCTCTCTTTAGTGTTTTTCATCCAACAATACCTATGGCTTGACAACTGAGTCCATTTCTCAGATCTGAATGAACCTTACTCCTCAAGGAGTAACACTCCTCCGTACCCAGAAGCAAATACATTGATGTGATGGGTCAGGCACAAAGTTTGGAAAACTTTATTGTCCTAAGGAGATATCAAACAACAGGTCAGTTTAGGTTAAATGAGGTCCATATTTTGTTTAAAAAGATTTTTCTGTGATGATATTAAATATAAATAGGGCCTGAATTTCCTCTGCCAACTCTTCTGTGACATTCACAAACAGATCTACTTCTGAGCTCTAGTAAAACCCTTCCTTCTTTTCCCTCCAAATCTTTGGAGTGATAGTGCCTCCTTGTTTGCTAAATTCTGAGTTGTCTCATATCTCTTCACTAACTTGTTGTTTCATTCATTAGCTATGTAAACAATTTCCTGTAACAAATATCTTTTTAAAATATATACTAGTTTCTTATTTTTTGAAAGGCAGTATAGCTATTACTATTCCCATTTTACAAATTGAGAAAAAAAGAACAGGAGGAGGTAAAGGAAACAGTTTTCCTAAGGTCACGACAAAAGTTATCAAGAGAATCGGGTTTATACAGTCATGTCCCACCTAAGAATATTTTGGTGAACAAAGGACTTTATGTGTAATGGTGGTCCCATAAGATTATAATGGAGCTGAGAAATTCTTATCATTTAGTGATGTCAGAGTGGTCGTAATGGCATAGCACAATCAGTGCATTACTCGTGTTTGTGGTGATGCTCACGTAAGCACACCAACTGCGCTGCCAGTCATACAAAAGTCTAACACTTAAAATTATGTATAGTATATAATACTTGATCATGATAATAAATGACTTCGTAACTGATTTATGTATGTACTATAGTATGATTTTGTTTTTTTTTTTTTTGAGACGGAGTCTCGCTCTGTCGCCCAGGCTGGAGTGCAGTGGCGTGATCTCGGCTCACTGCAAGCACTGCCTCCCTGGTCCACGCCATTCTCCTGCGTCAGCCTCCCAAGTAGCTGGGATTACAGGCGCCCGCCACCTCGCCTAGCTAATTTTTTGTATTTTTAATAGAGACGGGGTTTCACCGTGTTAGCCAGGATGGTCTTGATCTCCTGACCTCGTGATCCGCCTGCCTCGGCCTCCCAAAGTGCTGGGATTACAGGCATGAGCCACTGCACCCGGCCTATAGTATGATTTTTATTGTTATTTTAGAATGACCTCCTTCTACTTATAAAAATAAACGTTAACAATGAAAACAGCCTCAGGCATGTCCTTCAGGATGTATTTCAGAAGAAGGCACTATTATCATAGGAAATAAGAGCTCCATGTGTGTTTCTATCACTGATAACCTTCCAGTTGGAAAGATGTGGAGATGAGCCAGTGATACTGAGGACCCTGACCCTGTGTAGGCTTAGGCTAATGTTTGTGTTACTGTTTTAGTTTTTAACAAGAGTTTACAAGCTAACAAATAAAATTTAAAAATTAAAAATATTAGAAAACTTATAGAATAATGACATAAAGAAAAAATATTTGGTGCAGCTGTCCAATGTGTTTGTATTTTAAGTCTAAAGGTTATTATAAAAATAGTTTAAAATTAAAAAAATAAGAAATTAGAAAGTACAAAATTTGCAATAATATGAGGTTAACTTATTATTAAAGAAAGAAAAATATTTTTTAAATGAATGTGATGTAGCCTAAGTGTGCAGTGATTCTGAAGTCTACAGTAGAGTACAGGAGTGTCCTCGACCTTCACATTCACTCACCACTCACTCACTGACTCACCCAGAGCCACTTCTAGTCCTTCAAGCTTCATTCATAAGTGTCCTATACAAGTGTAGCACTTTTTATCTTTTATGTCATGTTTTTATTGTAACTTTTTACATTTATATATGTTTAGATATACAAATACTTACCATTGTGTTATAATTGTCATAGTATTTAGTACAGTAACATGCTGTACATCTTTATAGCCTAACAATAGACTATACCATATAGCCTAGGTGTATATGTAACTGTAGGTATGCATATATATGTATGAATTTAATTTTAATAATATTAATTTTGTCCCTGAAATATGGAGAGTGAATGAGAGTGTGTGTTAAATTTTGAGGACAAAAAAGGCTTCTTCTCAACATATAAGAATTCCATCAAATATTTTTTTTCCTAAGCTGCTGTAAATGAAGTTATTTAATTTTGGGCTTTGTCTTTTGACTATATGACTATTCAATTAATTATATTCAATTATTATATATATACACATAGAATTATTTCTATTCAATTAATTACATTCATTATTCATTATTCATATATTCATAATAGAATATAATATTGAATAGTAATAATTCTATTTTACAGTGACAATCATATAAATACAGTTATCCTCTTAAAACTGTTTTTCATGATTGTTATTCTTTATTAAGTTGTCTCATTTTTCCAAATAAAACTGTTTCACTGATTTCTCTATGATCAATTATTTTAAAATTTATCCTAGTATGAATATATTTTGTGATAAACTTTTTAAGAAAAATCTAACAACTCAATTTGCTTTTTTATGAAGCTGCCTATACATAGTCCAAAGGGAAATAGATTAGAATTATGTCAGTGAGGATGATGGAGTAAGTATCTCCAAATACTTGTTACTTCATAAAAGAAAGACAACACAGATTAAAATGATCAAAATCAATTCTTTAGAACGCTTTAACCATTTTTTTTGCGACAATCCAAGAAGTGTTTATTAAAAAACAAATACAAAAACAAAACAGCTGAATCTTGGTAGGGGTAATGAGCTTTGTAGTATTCTGTCTTATTTCCATCCCACTCTATCGCCTCCATTGTAGCCTTGGAAACCAGTAGGCCCATGATCACAATGAACGCCAGCAGCCAAGCAGACATTGGCAGGGATAAAACAGGACTGAAGCTTCCCAAATGCTCCACTCCCAGAGAATTGTCATTATTTGATCACTCTGGATGCTTCCTAGGAATTCCCACTCACAGGGAGGATTTCTTGTTTTATTTGACCTTAGTCCTCAGTCAAGGCAAACAGTCATTTCCCTGGAGGGAATCTGTTGAATCCAAAGAGAGATAATGGTTCTGCACCACCTCTTTCTGAGGTAGTGATAACAGCGATAAAAAGAGGCTGACTAAAATACCCGAAAGAGAAGGCTTGGGAATGAAATGTTCATAGCAGGCTTTGGATGAAGCTTCAAATGCAGGTATAGGGTTGTGTGCACATCAAGGAGTTTTAGCATAAAACAGAAAAACCTGAGAATATCCAAGGCTCTCAGCTCTGGTTTACTTTGAGAAAGTAGAAAGTAAAGAATAAGACAGAATTTTATATTTTCTGACTGAGCCTTGAAAGTAAACCTCAAGACACCTAGAACCCTCTGCAAATGCAGGAAGACTTATTGATCAAAGGCCTTTGAGGACATTACTGTCCAACCATTAGCTGACCACTAAGCTAACTTAGCAGAAACTTTAGCAGGTATACACTACAAAGGATAGAGGCGTCATCGAATTAATTCATGAAATTCACTAAATAAGCAAACAGTAATACCGACAGCAATATAAAGTAACAACAGATCAAAAGCTTGGAAGGGAAGAAAATATGATTTTCAAAGTTGCCACATTACATATTTTTAAATAGCTACTTTTTAACAAAAAGTCATTAGATATGCAAAGAAACAAGAAAGTAAGTCTCACTCACAGAGAGAAACAATGCAGTCAACAGAAACTGCATCTCAGGAGGCCCAAACAGTAGATTCAAAGTAAAAATATTGTTGTTAATATTTTAAATTTTATTAATATTCCTAATAAAAAGTTATTTAGAACAGTTATTTGAAATATGTTCAAACAACTACATATAATCATGTCTAAATATAAAACATAAAAATTTAGAAAGAAACAATATCAACAAAGAGATAAAATTTGAAAACAAATAAAAATTGTGGAGTCCAAAAGTACAATAACTGAAATAAAATATTCGCTAGTAGGGGTCTATAGCAGATGTGATCTGGCAGACGAAATAATTAGTAAACTAAAAATGTGTTGATTATCCACTTAACGGAAGAACAGGAAAAAAAAGAAAAATGAACAGTCTCAGATCTCAGAAAAAAAAGAAAGAAAAATAAAAGAAAGAAAAATGAACAGAGCTTAAGACCAAAGACCTCAGATAATATATCATCAGACACAAAAATATATGCATAATGGGAATTTTAGAAGGAGAAGAGATAGGAAATGGGAAAAATTAATATTTGTAGAAATAATGGAATAAATTTTCTGAACTTGAAAGAAAACATTAATCTATAATTAATAGTTAATCTATAATTAATGGATTAATAGATTAATCTATTAATCCAATCATTCATGAAGCTCAATATAAACTTCAAGTCAGATGAACTCAAAGAGATCAACAACAAACAAAGATTGTTGCTAGTACACTTGCCCTATAAGAAATATTCAAAGGAATCTTTCAGGCTTAAGTGAAGTAATGACATCGGGAAATATGAGAGAAAATATAAATGTATTTTAAAAAACACCTTACTGAGGTGTGATTGACATTTAAATAGTGAAACATATTTAGTACATACATCTCGATGAGTTTGGGGATAAGGATACACCTGTGAAACCACCACCACCCCTAAAGAGGGTGTGTCTATCACCTCTCAAAGTTTCTTCCCACCTCCTTTATTATTATCATCGGGGTTTTATGGGTATGTGTTTATTTTTGGTAGGAACACTTTATATAAGATACAGCCTCTTAGCAAATTTCAAGTATACAATGAAGTATTGTTAGCTATAGACATTATACTTTATAATAGATATCCAGAATATATTTATCTTGCGTAAGAGAATCTATGTGTCTTTTAACCATCACTTCTAATTTTTCCCTCTCCCTAGTTCCTGTCAACCACTATTCTATTCCCTGCATCTGAGTTTCACTATTTACTTGCCACATATGAGTAAGATCATACAGTGTTTGTCTTTCTGTCTCTGGAGTATTTCACTTAACAATGCCTTCCAGGTTCGTCCATGTTGTCACAAATGGCAGAATTTCCTTTTTATTAAAGGCTAAATAATATTCCATGATATATATACATAATGGAATTACATATATAATTATAATTATAAAACTGGAATTATATATTATAATATATATTATAATTATATATAACGGGATTATATGTAATTTATAAAAATACATTATTTTTTGATATAAAATACTATTCTTATATATTATAATTTTCATTATATATTCCATTATATATAATAATTCCATTATATATAATTATAATATATAATGAAATATTATTTGACTTACATAAAAAGGAAATCCTTTTTATTTATGTCATCCCATCAATGACTTAGGGTGTTTACATATCTGGCTAGTGTGAAAAATGTTTAAATAAATAAGGGAGTTCCAATATATCTTCAATATATTTATTTCAGTTTACTTGGATATACACCCAGAAGTCATATTCCTACACCACATGAAAGTTCTATTTTTAATTTTTTGAGGAACTTTAAACAGTTTTCCATATGGCTCTATCAATTTACATTTACACTATTGGTGTATAATCATTCCCTTTCTTCAACATCCTTGCTAAACACTTGTTAAATTTATTACTTTTTTAATAATAGCCATCCTAACAAGTGTGAGGTGATATTCATTGTGGCTTTGACTTGTATTTCCGTGATGATTAGTGAGTTAAGCAGCTTTTCATATACCTGTTGGACATTAGTGTATCTTCTTTGGGAAAATATCTATTCAGGTTCTTTGCCCGTTTTTATTTGAATAATTTGGGTTTTGTTTGTTTGATATTCAGTTGTATGAGTTTCTTGTATATTGTGGTTGTTACCTCTTATCAGATATATAATTTGAAAATATTTTCTGCCATTCCATAGGTTGCCTTTTAATTTGGGTTGTTTCCTTTATTGTATAGAACCTTTATAGTTTAATGTAATCCCATTTGTCAGTTTTTGCTTTTGTTGCTTGTGCTTTTGATTTTAAAAAACGTATTGCCAAGACCAAGGACAAGGAGACTTTTTTTCAATGTTTTCTTTTTTTTTTTTTTTTTGAGACGGAGTCTCATTCTGTCGCCCAGGCTGGAGTGCAGTGGTGCGATCTCGGCTCACTGCAAGCTCCGCCTCCTGGGTTCATGCCATTCTCCTGCCTCAGCCTCCCGAGTAGCTGGGACTACAGGCGCCCGCCACTAGGCCCAGCTAAGTTTTTGTATTTTTTAGTAGAGACGGGGTTTCACTGTGTTAGCCAGAATGGTCTCGATCTCCTGACCTCGTGATCCACCTGCCTTGGCCTCCTAGAGTGCTGGGATTACAGGCGTGAGCCACCGCACCTGGCCTCAGTGTTTTCTTCTAGAAGTTTTACAACTTTAGATCTTACATTTAGATCTTTAATCCACTTTGTGTTGATTTTTGTGCACTATGTAAGTGTCCAACTTTATTATTTTTCATGTGGATATCCAGTTCTCCCAATACCAGTTATTAAAGAGATCAGCCTTTCTCCGTTGTGTATTCTGGGCACTTTGGTGGAAATATACTTGGCTTTATATATGTGGGTTTATTTTTGGGATCTATATGGTGTTTTATTGGTCTGTTTTATGCCATTACCATACTGTTTTCATTACTATCACTAGCTAATATAATTTGATATTAGAAAGCATGATGTCTCCAGGCTTGTTCTCTTTGCTCCAGATTAGTTTGGCTATACAGGGTCTTTTGTAGTTCCAGAAGAATTTTAGTAATTTTTTTTCAATTTAGATTAAAAATGTCATTGAAATTTTGATAGGAATTGCATTAAATTAACCATTATACTAGATATTAAATGATTTAGCACCAATATTGAAGCATTAGAGTTTTCTGAATTTGATAATGAGTTTAACTTTACCAGTGAGTTTTATACTTTCATATGTTTTTATGTTACTAATCAGTAGCCTTTAATTTCAGCTTGAAGAACTTCCATTAGCATTTTCTCTAAGGCAGGCCTAGTGGTGATGAAGTTTGTCAGCCTTTGCTTTTCTGGGAAAGACTTTATCTCTCCTGCACTTCTAAAGGACAGCTTTTCTAGGTTAAGTATTCTTAGCAGATTTCTTTTGATTTTTAATATTTGTTTGTGTTTTCTTTCAGCACTTTGAATAGCTCACTCTGAATACCTCACCTTCAATTCCAATCTGTCGTGGTCCACAAGTTTTTCTGTTGAGATATCCATATGGAGCCTTAGGATAGTTCCTTTATGTGTGACAAGCACTTTTCTTTTGCTTTGTCTGTAGCTTTGACAAATTGATTATATTGTGTCTTGGTGAAGACCTCTCCATGCTGAAATTATTTATACTTCTTTGGCTTTTATGGGTCTAAATATTTATTTTCATCTCCAGATTTGAATAATTTCACTTACTTTTTAAAATAAGCTTGTCCTCTTTCTCATTCTCTGTTTTTTTTTTGGAACTTTCATAATTCATATATTGGTTTGGGGGATGGTATCCAATAAGTCTTGTGGGATTTCTTCATACATTTATATTATTTTTTCTTTGTGTATCTCTAAATATGTAATTTCAAATGAATTATATTTGAATTCACAGATTCCTTTCTTTGTGTAATTGAGACTGCTTTTTGAAGCACTCTGTTAAATCTTTCAGCTTAAGCTTTGTATTCCGTAGCTCCAGAATTTATGTTTGGTTCTTTTCTGTAGTTGTTATCTCTTTATTTAACTTCTCATTTGTCCTTGTGTTGTTTTCCTAGTTTAATTTAATTAACAATCTGTTTTCTCTTGTAGCTCACTGAGCTTCTTCAAGATGAATATTTTAAATTTTTGTTAAGCAATTTACAGACTACCATTTCTTTGGTGTCAGCCACTGGAACTTTATGTTCTTCCTTTAGTGGTGTCATATTCTCTTGACTCTTTATGTTTACTAAAGACTTGTATTGACATATTCATATCTGAAGAAGCAGTCACCTTCTCCAGTTTTTTTCTGACTGTGATCACGGTGAGGATCTTTTCTTTCTTTCTTTTTTTTTTTTTTCTTTTTTTGAGACAGGGTCTCCTTCTCTCACCCAGGATGGAGTACAGTGACGCAATCATGGCTCACTGCAGCCTCCACCTCCCAGGCTCAAGTGATCCTCCCACCTCAGCCTTCCCAGTAGCACCAGCATACCCAGCTACTTTTTTTTTTGTATTCTTTGTAGAGACAGAATTTCACCATGTTGCTCAGACTGGTCTCAAACTCATAAGCTCAAGCAATCCTCCTGCCTCAGTATCCAAAAGTGCTGAGATTACAGGTATGAGCCACCATGCCTGGCCATGAAGGTCCTTTTCAAGTAAAACAAACTTTGCTATGAGCCCAGCTTGAGATTCTGGTGATTTCACAGTCCTTTACTATGGTTGTGCTTGACTACTCCTCTTGTTTCCTCTTAGGGGAACAAGTTTTAGAATTATGTATCTTCTCTTGATCCTGTAAAGCCAGCCCTGGTGCTGAGAGCCTCCCATTATTTTCACTAAGGAAGTACTTTGAAGTGCTTAATGTTACGCATCTTGTCCCACACCAGGAGAATAGAGCCACCTGTTAAGATTCACAACTGCTGGTGAGACATGGGTGCTTTCACGTGGAACTCATATGAGCTATGCACCAAGACATGGACTTGATGTTCATAGAGAGAGCCTGTGGGGTGCTGGGAGAATGTGTCAGCTGTCGAGGGAACCCTCAGACTCATCATCCTGCAGGTTTCATGGGTTGGCCTCTTGGCAAAGTCTGCAAGCAGGTTAGCAGGACCCATGGCTAGGTGTCTGGAACCATACACTGGTTTTTGTGTGCTCCATTTTATTCTCCCTACTTCTAGCTGTCCTCAGATGATTCCACTCTGTGACCCCTCAGTGTTCTGGATGGGGTGAGACAGAAGTGAGCCTCCTGACAACATCCTTCAAGGCTGGGAAAGGCAGGTGCTCACTGCTCTGCCACTTTCCTTCATGAGAGAAATTATGGGCTGAGTTCCTTTCTTGGCTGTGTCAATTGCATGGGTGGGGCAGGACAATGCAGGTAAAGTGAAACTGTGCTTACCCTCTTGTTCCACAGGGGTGCTGGTACCTCAACTAGACTGGAAGATTCTCATAAAATTATTCTTATTCATTGGTGATTGCCAAAATAGTTGTTTATGTGTGGGGATGAGAACTGAAAGCTGATATTCCACCATCTTGCTGGTGTTACTCTCCAGCATGAATGCATTTTTTATTGTAACTCTATTTTATCATAATCAGACTTAAAAGACAACTGTATAAATAAGTAATTATTTGTCTGTATTGATGGGCACATCACTTCAGTTTTCTAATACAATTTGATATCAGGAGGCATGATGTCTTTAGCTTTTTTTGTTTGTTCAAGATTACATTGATTGTTCAGGGTCTTTGGGGTTTTCATATGAATGTTAGGATTTTTTTCTATTTTTTTTGTGAAAAAAATGCCATTGGAATTCCTACATCTTTGTTTAATATATACTTATGTTATTTGTGTGACAGTAATGGTAAAAGAGGCAGGGAGAATGAATGGAGCTATACAGTAGAATTGTACACTATTGAAATTGAGTTGGTATTAATCCAAATAAGATTGCTAATAACTAAGATGTTAGTTATAATTCCTAGAAAGTCCACTAAGAGAAAATTTCAAAATGATTGTAAAAAAAGAATAATTAAATAATACTTTAGAAATACTGATATTACACAAGAGAAGGCAGTCAGGAGGGATTGAGGACAAAACTAAATAAGACATACAGAAAACAAATAGCAAAATGGTAGCAATTATTGTTTCTTTATCACTAATTAATTTAAAGGAAAATGGATTAAATTTTCAGGTCAAAATTGGAGTTGGCAGAATAGATCTAAAAACTTAGTAGAACTATATTCCTTTACAGAGACTTTAAATTCAAAGAAACAAATTGATTTAAAGTAAAAAAATGCAAATAAGTATACCATATAGACAGTAACTAAAGGTGCATTAGGGTAGCTACACTAATGTCAGACTAATGGACTTTAAGGTAGAATTTTTTACAGGAAACAAAGTAGTACATTTTGTAATGACAAAAGTAATAATCCATCAAGAAGATCTAACAATTATAAACCTGTATGCACGTAACAACAAATATTCTAAATTCATAAAACAAAAAACTGACATAATAGAAGCAACAATAGGCATTTCCTCTCTAATAATAGAGGCTTTAACATTTTTCTTTTAATAATGTATTCAGTGATTAGACAGATAATAAGCAAGGAAATAGATTTTAAAAGCAATAACAAGCAACTAGAACAAATATATTTCTATATAGCACTCATGTAAAAGTATAAGTATACACTTAATGTTTTTCAAGAAAATATAAATTAGTAACCACAGAAAATTTGGGCAATTCACAAATCGGTGGAAATTAAACAAACAATAAACACAATATAAATAACCAATTGGTTAAAGATGGACTAGTAAGATAATTATAAAATCATTTAAGATAAATGGAAAAAGAACATACACAAAACATACAAAGTTTATGAGGTGCCACAAAATAAGTACTCAGAAATTTATAGCTGTAAACTCCTACACTAAAAAATAAACATATCAAAATCAGTAACCTTAAGCATCTACATTGAATACTAGAAAAGAAAAGCAAACTAAACCAAAGCAAACAAAATGAAGGAAATAAAGAGGCAAGGTTAAGCGGAGATAGTCAAGGCCAGATTCCACTTAAAATGGTAGATATTCGACCTCATAGCTACATTTCTTTTTCAACCTGTCAATCATGATGAAATGCAGACCTGCCAGTTCCTTTAACTATTTAATTTGTTTAAGTAAATATACTTCACAAGAACACACAAGCTGAAGTCATTCTAAGGAAGGGGACATTTGACAATTACCAAACTACCTGCTTGCTTTTTGGCGCACTGGTTCCTGAACACGGCTGCATATTATAATCACCTGAAAAATTAATACTAATACCTTAGGCCAAGTAGAGATAAAGGTGTGTATTTAGGATGGCGCTTAGCATAAGAAATATTTTCTGTCATTGCATGAGTTAAACGTTGACCATGTATTATACCTAGTGTGCTTTAAAATTAGTGTGAATTCATTACTATTTAGATAAAATTTTGTTTCTTTCATTTTCCATTTGATACATGAGTGCAACAAAAGGAGCTATATTGGCCTTTAGTATTTTCCTTGTTCCCGAGGATGGGCTAGAAACACTATAAGTGAAACTCCTCAAATAAGATATTGAAGTACTAAAGTAGATGCAAATGAATATATACATTTGGAAGTCTAATTAGTTGTTAATACTTTGGGATGAGGCTTAGCCTAGTGACTGGAGAAGGCATTACAGGGCTTCTGTGGTACTAATAATGTCTTATTTCGTGATCTGAGTAGTGAGTCTCAGCTGTGTTCATTTTGTGATATTCATCAAGCAGTATACTAATTTGTTCAAATTTTCTGAATGTTTGGTATATTGCAATAAGCAAGCTAATTTTAAAATTCATTTTTAAAAATCAGCACCACATTTTAAATGTCTGCTTTTTCACAAGTCTTTTTCACTTACAAAAGACTGGCAAATGTTCTAATATCTTAAATCTCTGATTATTACTTTTTTACTCTGTACTACTACCAAATGCTAAATTTGAAAGTATGCAATGCATTGGTTTTGCTCTGACACTAACGCAAAGAGTGATGTCAATAACTTGGCAGATTTTTTTTTTAAATCCGTTAAA
Source organism: Homo sapiens (assembly GCF_000001405.40). Classification (NCBI taxonomy): domain Eukaryota; kingdom Metazoa; phylum Chordata; class Mammalia; order Primates; family Hominidae; genus Homo; species Homo sapiens. The sequence continues at coordinate 63,503,133 of NC_000016.10, read as the reverse complement.
AATACAAAAAAAGCACACAGCTGTTGACATTAAACTACTGGTGTAAGAATAAATATATGTGAGGGAGAAAAAAAGTCAATGGCTTAACTGAAGATGTTCTCTCTACAATCTCAATGTTTGTAAACCTCTCTTGGCCAAAGGAACAGAAAGCGATCTTCTTTGGCTATTGTGTCTTTTGCTTACTGTACGGGACATCAAAATGCAAGGGATGTAATTTTTGCTCTTGATGGTCTTCTCTATTGCTCTCTAGTTTGTAACCCTGAACTTGTAAGAAGCATATATATGCTTTCATTTTCTTTGTTTTCTTCTCTTCCTGTTTTGGCTCCAGAGAGTTTTGCAGTAAAGAAAATCTCTTAATTTCACATTCTAGTACTAAAATGAGATGAAATCAATCTTACTGACATGACAAGTATTTTTTTGTTTGCCCATTCTAGATGGTTTTTATGGCTCACTGAAAAAATTGGTTTACCTAAATAAGGTAATAGTAATATCGGAATCTGTGCATTTAAAAATATTTCTTAGAGAATTGGGAATATTCTTCCCTGATTTTCTAGGATCATTCTTTCCCACCATTGTAGTTGTCTGCCCAGGACCTTTTTCTTTCTTCATGCTCAGTTGTTTAGAAATTTCTCAGGCCCCATGGATTCAACCTCCATTCATGTGACTTAAGTGCAACCTCAAAGTGTTAGTTTCATGACATAATATCAAAAGAATAATAGTATATATGGGTACCCTATGTATATACTCTGGCCCCTGCTTGGCAGCTCCTCAAATTCCAGTCATTCAGAATATTAGATTGTTAAATGTTTATACTATTTACCATCATCTTAGTTTTCATGCATATTTATGTTTTTTCTCTTTTGTCATGTCACACCACCTTCTTATAATATAAATACTATAATATAAAAATCTTGAGGACAAGGGCTGTATTATTATCCCTTGGTGTCTAGTATTGTGCCTGACCATAGGACACATACACACATAAAATTCTTGAAGAGTAAAACACACGTCCTCAACTTATGCATTATTTTTTGTTTCCCCATCTATGATGCTATTGGCATTGTCATAGTCTCAGAGCCAAGTAAACTCCTCACTATTGTTTATTCCCCACATCCCAGCTTAAATGTGGGTATATGAGTGTACAGACAGGGCAATACTCTTCCGTTTTTCTCTGTCAGTCTCCTAAACCTGCATAATCCAAGAAAGTCTTTATGTAGAGAATATCAGTAATCAGGTTTGAGGGACCCTCCATAGTATACGTTAAATCAATACTTGTAGAATTTACATTATGGAGTAAGTGAATGATATATTCAAAATGTAACTTACCTTTGCCCTTCTAAAGCAACAGTAAACCCCAAAAAACAAAATTCTCTAATTTATAGAATTTTTCAAAAATAGCTTATGATCTGTTGTTAAAATTTCAAGATTGTGCATTTTTCTCACAACTAGACCATATGGACAAACTAAAATGTTAAATGTGGGCCTGGTTTTTAAGCTAAAAGTTATACTGATTCATTTTAGACAAGTAATCTTCTTATGCAAAATATATTTCACATAGTATGTTATATTTGTATTAACTGTTAATACAAATAAAATACAGCAATCAACAATTTTTCTAAGGAAAGAGGGGGATAGCAAAATAAGATATTTTGGTAAAAAAGGAAATCAATGATTATTCAAGCCGATTGTTAAAACATGGATCAGAGATCAGATTTATTTTATAGTATGTCCCAATTTAAAGAAATTCATTAGAAAATTCTAGCAAACCATTTCAACATATGTCTTTTTGGAAAAACCATGTTGCTGAAGAATGAGTGTCATTGCAAAAGAGCATTCAATGTTAATCTGCGAGTTATAGAGTTTATAATTCCTTGGAGTAATATTTGGATCCACAATGCTGTTTGCTTCTCTCAAAAACCATTAGACAATTCAATAGGCAGAGAAAAAGCCAATTCTGTTTCTTGTTCATTAGCATGCCTGAACTTATGTACATTTGATTTTATTCTGGCAATTAAAATATGAATCAGACACATCGTCACCATGGGTTTCTCCATGGGAGACATATACCTTATTCCCTGCTTTATTAAAAGCCATTTACTATACCATCACCTTCAGCTAAAATTTCATTTTGCATTTATTCAGGCATAAAATGCATCAAACTGCCTGATACATGGCAGTAAAACATTTTGTATACTGTCAGTTTCAACTTGTTGAACAAGTATTTCACATGGAAAAAAGTACCTACAATTGGCAGGTTAGTTCCTAGAGTAGAAAAATCAGTACCTAAAGTAACTTTATCTATCTAATTTTCCCAGACTCTTCCAGATACGCCTGAGATCCTTAGTCTAAAATGATGTCTCACTTGTTTGCAAGTAGCTGGGGTGGCCAAATGTTTTTACTATAATAATGGATCAGTATTACCTACTTTAGCTTCCTTTTCAGGAAAGAGGATGGCCCAGGTCCTTGAAATCTGGCCTTTGGTGATTTGGGATTTACAACTTTAGAGAATATGGAAATTACCATCTGCTATAGCTATCTGAATCATTGCCACATTGATCAAAGCAATACGCAATAATGCATAGAACAACTCATGGTTTTAAATCTTCATGTTTTCCATTCAGCCATTCATTCACTCAACAACCATTTACTGATGTAATGGGTATTAAAGTTAGAATGTTAAATAAAATCATTTTCTTATATTTCTGTTTATCTTTTTTTTGTAGGAGAGATAAGCCTGTAAATCAGAGAGCAGAATAACAAATATTTGAATAAGTATAAAATTATTGTGGTAATAAAGTGAAAAGAGGAAAAAAATATAGCCTTGCCTTTAGTTTGAGTTTTCCCAAAAACATGACACTAAGTTAAGGCCTTCAGGACAGGTACTTCAACTGAGAGGTGATCCCAGAAGTTACAAGTGAGGGAGTGGGTAAAATGAGAAAGAAAGGAAGAAAGGGAATAAAATAAAGGGTGTGTTAGTTTTACTTCTGTAAGCAAATGAAGCTCAAACAGTAAGGAGCTGTTGAGAAATGGTGTAGTGCATGCTCATAATCACAGGATCAGAGGACAAGAAGTTGGGCCATCTATACTCCAACTCTCATTCTTTAGTGGCAGGGGCTTGCACCATGGGTGTTAATTTCTCATATTTAAAAATAGAGAACTGCTTTCAATTTAGCGACCCTCAGGAGTATTGGAGAACATCCTTGGACAGAGAAGCAGAGATAGTCAGGCACTTGAGTTTGGAAGCTATCAGCCTGTTGAAAACACATTACAGTTACAGGCAAATTGTATGAACCAGTGTCTATGAACTACACTATTTACAGTATTTTCCATGCCCTTCCCTATGTTAGTATTTAATAATCATGACAATTCGAATGTCAGTATTAATTTTCTTAGTGAATACATATGAAACCAACATGTTTTTTTTGAATCATGCTTTAATTTACTATTTTAGACAATACAAATTTTGAATGGAAGCTTCTTTGAGAACTTTGCTATTGGTCCATGAGCATAATTGAAATGAATGGCTTCTAATATCTTACTGGTCAATGTATACCTCTGTTTTATTGTTTATTTCAACTCCCTCCAACACAAGTGATAAATTTAGAGAGGTATTTTGATTACTGTGGCTAAATGTTGAGGAACATCACCAGACTTCTCAGCTTTGTTATTTCTAGAGAATTATCATTCTAAGATGTTTGCAGAGGTAAAACAAGTTGATCATGTACTGATGCATGAGATATTTCCTGTTTGGCTGTGGAGTCACTTAAGGAACCTAGGACTAGACATGCTGATTTACCTCTGGCCTTGGGGTAAAATTGGGAAGAAATATTATATTGTAACATGGGTTTTGCTAAATAGTCATGCTTGCATCATAATTCAATTCTATATTGACTCTGCATCTTTTCTAGAGGCAAGATTCTTCAAAGCCTAAGGCTGTGCTATCCCTCCTAGCTTTTCCGTCTCCGCTCTCTACACTGCATGATTCCTGAGCAAAAGAGCTGGGACTCTCTTCGTGCTTGGATTATTCTCACTTATTTCTTGCTGGTTGACCTCAATACACAAGACTTGGCATAGCACCTCACAGGTAGTTTGTTAAGTGAATGAATGAAGGACCAGTACTTGCAGCTGTTCTACTCATACTACCACCTAATTCCTCCTATCAGAACACCATAGGAATGGAGTTATATATTCATTGCTTAGCCTCATGCACTCTCATAATATAAAGTAAGGATGAACTAAGCAGATACAGCCAAATCTTGCTTGTCTGAATAAAATCAATTTCAAAAGGATATTATACCTCAAGGCATATTCATGAATTAGCAAGTAATTCAACTTAATAGGAATATGGTTCATATGAAAGAAAATAGATACACATTAGGAAAGGCAGAACATGAAGTTCTTTGGCTGAGAAGAACAATGTTTATTTGGCTAGCAATAGGGAAATACTGATAATTTTAACCCTTAGAAATATCCCAAATTTTAGGATGTTTCAAACTTCTTAGCCAATGGAAATTTTGTACTTTTGATTAAAAATTATGCAATTGGTCAATGTGTACCTCTGTTTTATTGTTTACTTCAACTCCCATGACCCATTGAAAAATCTGACCTGACCAGTTAGAGTTAAATGTTGTCTTCAAAACAAGTATATGTTTTATCTGGTTGCTATATTTTCGTCAACAGGGCTGCTATTTTATGGTACAAGTATTATAATTACCTGATGTGTGTACACTGGTAAACCATCACCACAATAACTTAAAAAAATCCTATTAGAGATAATTTTGGGACTAGGGAACCTGGCTTTATGGGGAAATTCAGGATTCGAAATATTTTATTTAAGTCTAACTGACTCTCACTGGAAGCAGGAGATATCTGTGAAATGCTTAGACAAATGTGGTTAATATAGCCTATCATTAATTTGTCAGGTCTAATTAATGGTATCAGTTACCAGATGAAGAGGGAGACCATTACACTTCCTAGGAGTATAGAAAGGCAGTCAAGGATGCTACAGAAGCCCATATTCTCCCTGGATCACTGGAAGTAATGGGGTGAAAAATAGTAAGTCAAATAGAATACTTATCACAGATTGAGAATATGCGTATTGTTTACTCTTTATTCAACTGCGATTAAGGGTAAGCCCAAACATCTAGGGCTATAGTAAGAAAAAAAATCCAAGCAACGCACTTCTAAGTTATGACACACGGAGGTTAACATCCATATGGATCTTGTCTTTGATTTTTCCTGTTTTCTAATTGTTTCATTCATGTCGATGGTGAGCTAGTTGAATTGATGGGGCACTAAGGATATCTATATATCTTTATAGATATATAGATATACATATATACTACATACATTACATATACACATATAGGCATATATGTATGTATATGTATTTAAACATATACATACAGATATATATACATAATATACGTCATATATAACATATATAATATTTTATGTATCTTAAGCAGACTCAAGATGTCACAGCCTTCTTTTTAAGGCCCCTTGAAGCCTGGCTCCTTGCCAAAACTTTTCCACATAGCTTTTCTGAAGCTGCAATTAATTATAATACTTGTACCATAAAATAGCAACCTTGTTGACAAAAATACAGCAACCAGATAAAAAACATACTTGCTTTGAAGACAACATTTAACTCTAACTGGTCAGGTTCTTACTATAACTTGATCACAATAACACTTCAGTTTAATAAAGTGCAAGCCGTGCTTAGCTCTGTTTTCCTCTTTTTAAAAAAATATCTTTGCTTCGGCTGGGCGCAGTGGCTCACGCCTGTAATCACAGCACTTTGGAGGGCCAAGGAGGGCAGATTATGAGGTCAGGAGTTTGAGACCAGCCTGCCCAATATGGTGACACCCCGTCTCTACTAATAATACAAAAAATTAGCAGGGCATGGTGCCGCGCGCCTGTAGTCCCAGCTACTGAGGAGGCTGAGGCAGGAGAATGGCTTGAACCCGGGAGGTGGAGGTTGCAGTGAGCGGAGATTGTGCCACTGCACTCCAGCCTGGCGACAGAGCAAGACTCCATCTCAAAAAAAAAATCTTTGCTTCTATAATAATTCATATACCTGACTAAATGCTATATAACTGAAGTGGAGTTTTTTTTTGTTGTTGTTAATATACTAACTTATTTTTAGTATTTCCACTACTTAACCTTGATGCCTCTTCCTATTTTTATTCAGTAGGCCCCTTCATACATCCCTTAGTGATTGACATCTTTATATTCAATATATATGACTTTGAGCTAGATATAAATTCACACACATGTATATTTACATATATACAAGAAAGGACATATATGTGTGTATATATTTATACTTGTATATATACACATATATGCTTTCTTTTTGTATGTGTGTATATATTCACTTATATATACACACATGTATATATTCACTTATATATACACACATGTATATATACTTCCATTCCTTATATTTCTTCTCTTTTCTCTTTGTTTTTCATGTCATTACTGTGTTAACTCAGGACTCTATTATTTTTGTTCAAATAATTGGAAGTTTCTCCTGACCTTGTTTCCTGATTCAATCCTTGACCTTTACAATCATTTGACAGACTGTGATTGTGTCAGCCACCTATTAAAAACATATATAGTCCTTGCCCAGCCGTCAGAATCTTTCACTGCTTGAAATAGACTTCACCTTGTTGGCTCTGTCTGTCATTGGATCCTGTCATCATTTTGTGCTCTATCCACATGGAACTTCTAACTCAGTTGCTGTTCATCCACTGGGTTCTATTTAAGTTTTTTTTTTAATGAATATCTTTCCTTTCTTGTTAACTTGTATAAATGTGATTCATCTTTTAAAAATTATTCTAGATTATCTTCTAAGAACCCTAATATAACACTGCACCATAGAAACACTCAAATTTCATATTCTTAAAATAAACTAACTTGCAATTTTTGGCTCTGAATTTTTATTATCTAATTTTCTAACATCCCTAAGTATAGTTTATGCAATTTTAATCTTAGTTTCTTATTTTATTAATTTTTTGTATTTGTCATTGAATGTGACAATATGTACATAAAGCTTTTGCACAATGGCATTGATACAAATCTAGGTTGGTGAAAAAGGGGGTGTCTATACTAATGTCTCTTGAGTGCCTTCTATTACCCAAATACTGCAAGATTTTATATGTATATATTCTAATTAGAACCTCAGAGTAGCCATGTAAGTAGACCATATGATTTATTGTCCAAACAAGAATACATCTTAGAATGTACTGCAAACAACACTTTTAGTTATATCACCGGAAAAACAGAGGTACACTGGATTTTTCTGGGTAGATCAAGATACATAGGCATTCTAGCTATAAGAGATGTGGAATTTTACTTTTCTTAAAGGTAAAAAGCCTTTCTCAAGGGATGGAGCATAAAGGTAAACTCCAGGCAGTCTGATCCAAACTCATACTTTTCTTTCCTTGATCTTTCAAGGCCATGTTATTTTGCAGTAAAAGTCTATTATAAAATTTTTTTGCTATATAAAAAGCCCTAACTTACAATTTTTGTGGTAGGGAGAATTCTAAGATGTCCCTCAAGATCCAGGAACCTGGGATATATGCACTTCATCCCAGGCATTCAAACACTAACCTAGGTGCTCCTGTGAAGGGATTTTGCTGATGTGATGAAAGTCTCAAATCAGTTGCCCTAAAAACAGGGAGATTATGCTGGGTGAAGGTGACCTAATTAAGTGCATCCTTCGAAAGCAGAGCATTACTTTCAGCTAGTCCTAGATAAAGACTTTAAACAGTCTTATTTCTGCTGGTGTGGAAGAAAGCAAACAGCTTTGTTGTGAACTGATGTTGGAAGCTGTCTGGCTAGGCACTGTGAGCAGTGTTGGAAAATGAGATTTGTCCCTGTTAATTGCTAGCAAGAAAATAGGGACCTCAGTACTACAACCACAAGGAACTGAATTTTTCTAACAATCTGAATGAGTTTGGAGTAGGACCCAGAGACTCAAATGAGTTGTGGTGTGACTGACAGCTTGATTGTAGTTTTCCAAAGCCTTGAACCGAGAACATGTCTATACCATGCTTAGAGATATAGTATACCTAAAGAAACTATGAGATAATAAATGTGTAGTGTTTTAAGCTACTAAAATTGTGGTTATTGTTACATAGCAATAGACAACTAATACAATCTTTAGTTATCTAAATAAATTAACAACAGAATGTCTGGATATGGATAAAATCACACATATGATTTGAAGGTGAGATATTAATGAATTCGCATATCAATTATTCATAAAACAGCATCATCATGAGGCTATTCTTCAATGTAAGATATACTGTTCTATACATGTTTAATATAAACCTGCAAAAATTCACATAGTGGAAAAGAATAGGAAAGACACTTACTGGCTATTTAAATGCAAAGCATTTTATTATAGCCTGGTGGTAAAGGTTAATATTATTATTTTCAAGGGGCTTAGGTCAAATGGCACGTTCATAAAATAGGTTTTGTTCTGCAATTCCACTTGAATTTGTAAGCAGCAAAATTGATGAAAATATCCTATAATGTGTATATACTGACTTTTCTTATTTTTAATAGTTTAATTCATGTTCCATCTAGTTTCTTCAACATCAGTTGTCACTGTGCCGAAAATTGTATGGTTAAAAGTCACCTCATTCTGCATAGAATATACAAGCCTCCATTATACTTGCCAACTTCTTATTTAAAAAGTCAATTTAGCATACTGTTTTCCAACTACTCTCTTTTTCTTTGATTCTATTTTACATATATATTTGTCAACTGCAGGGTCTTCTTTTTTGTCATTTTAATTTTAAATTTCTATTCCAATTTTAATTTTAATTAGCACCATTATTTCAAGGCAGCAAGTGTCAAAATTATATTTGAATCTCTGGATAGTTTAAGAAAAGGTAGTTATTTTGTTGAAAATCACCTAAAGCAAGGAGAGGTGTGACCTCTTATAGCTGTAGATTCTAAGTACTTTGAAACGTGATCTTGAATAATAAATATAAAACATACCGTCATATGGAAGATGTGACTATTTGAGTCGGAAAGATATACTTTGCTACATTTATTGGAGATATTTACAAGCTAGCTATTCACAAATAAAGATACTAATCTATGAACATAACTAATATGTTATACAACACATTCTCTGTTTAATATACATGCAGTGCATATGAAGAAAACATTTAAATTACGGCAACAGATGCTTGTTTATACATATTTAGTGCCATTATAAAAAGGAGCCTGGAGAATATACAACTGAAAATTCTCATGTATATGCCCAGTGCTGAGGGAAATGGATTTGATTTCTGGTAATTTAAGAAACCTAATCACTGTCATTAAACAAATAAGGATTCATTACATGCGCAAAAGAAAATCACTGTGAACACAGTAAAACTTGGAAATAAATGTGATCTAGAACTTTAATTTCTATGCACATTTTATTTGAGCACAATTTATTTAGGAGGTTTATGACCTGTGACTATTTCTCAATTTAATATAACTAACAACTCCAATGGTAGGTCTCAACCACTTGGATAATTGGAGTGAAGAGGAGGTTAGCAGCAAAGGGGAAAAAGTCTCTGTATATTAATATCTTGCACAGACACAGTTAAGCTTGGAGGTATCAACTGCTTTAATGAAAGAGGAGGTCATTCAGAGACATAATGGTCTGGTGTATTGAGACATAGAAAAGCCACTATGGAAGGCTCTGAGAAAAAAATAAACTTAATAAATGTCAAGCATAAGAAGTGGAAACCAGCTCAGAGTTCCAATCTTAGGAAAATATCCAATGGTTTCTTAAGCTGTGAATAGCCCTCTCACGCATCAGTCTTGTAGAAATATTATAGTAAGACTTTATATTTAGAGAAGCCTGATATAAATCTCATCTTCACCATAAATGAACTTCCTGACATATGCACAGGTTAATTCTTAAAGCCTCAGATTTCTCACCAGTGACAATGTTTAGTATTTTGTGTAGATTAGTGTCTACAAAAGTCCAGGTAAATTCAATGTATGTTCGTCTCTCTGTTTGGCTCCCTAATTTGAATAGGTGAGGAATAGCCCATCTTTAACAAAGACACCCTCCATGGATACATTTAATAAGAGAAAAATGGAGGTTACCTAGAGACTTGTGTATAATAAACCAAAGGATAGTCAGAAACAACAAAAAATTACCCTTGCAGCTCACTTCAATGGATCATTCTAGAGTATTAAGAATTAGATAAAGTGTCTAAAGAGAAAATGAATGAAGTAAAATGTATAAAAAAGGAGTTAGAAGAAAATGTACCAAAGAAAAGCAAATTTGAAGTTTAGATAAATGTCTTATTTCTAGCACATTTGCCATCATGCTAGAATATGTGGTCAGAATATGGTCAAAAGACGTAGCAATGTATTGTGAAGGAGGTATACGCATGTAGGGACCAAAGCAGGGAAGTGCAATCATCTACTTGTAGACAGAATCTATTAATTGCTCATAAATATTAAAGGAATAAATGAGTAAATGGGTGGATAGATGGTAGGATTGAAGGACGGATGTGTGAAAGCTTTGGTCCCAAATCCCACCTCTGGAATTTTAATAAATGAGAGTTGTGATTTGTAAGGAGAATGGCATTTTCCTACATGATACATGGCTTTATTGCTCTAGGCCAAAGAAAAATGTATAGATGGCTTCTCCATATGCCACCAATATATACACCTGGTTGTTAGATTCTCATATCTCTGTCCTTTTCTAGACATTTCCTCTAGTTGTAGAGTTAGATGCATGACACATATATATGTATGTACACACACACACACACACACACACACACAGTGTCTGGAACTTCCTCCCTAGACTAACAGCTTCAGCATCACCTGAGAAAATCTTAGAATGATATATTAACTCCTGGGCCTTCCTATACCTGTTAAATGAAACACTCTGGGGTGGAACCCAGCAATCTCTATTCTAATACATTCTCCAGGAAATTCTAATGACAATAAAATTTGAGAACCAAGCTCCAGCGCAAGCATGACTCCAGCTTCACTGGATTTTCAACATTTTTAAAAGAAAAACGTAATTTCCTAAAAGATAGAGATAGTCAAAAACAACATGAAATACTTCTTTCCACCCCCAACACCCACTCCTGCATAAAGTCAAGCAAGAAAAAAGTTACAGCGGGTGTCTTGATTGAGTATCATAATTGGAAGTACACTCATGAAAAAGGAGGCAGACAGAAATTTCATTCTAACTACAAAAGCTTATCCAAATGTTCTATTACATAAAGCTCAGAAAAATTAACAGTTGAATGTCTTTTGTGGGCTCCTATCTAAAGCTGAATTTCGTTGGCCACACCTGTCAGCTAAAGCAAAGCTTTCTATCAATGCTTTTCTGAGTTAGAGGGAGTCTATGAAGTTATATTTGAGGATATGAGCACTTTTAATTGCAGGACAGATAGGATATGATAGTATATATGAATACACCCTTTAACCTCTTAGTTGTTTTTCTTGTGTAACTGATGTACTTTTGTGCCCTCTGATCTGAATAGGTAAACCCCTACCTCGAAAGGGGCTGTTTCCAAAGATGAATCACATCCTAAAGGCTGTTTCTGTCAGTACTTCAGAGAGCACAATGTGCCACCTTCTCATTTCAGTTTTTCACAGAACCTACAACCGCTGTGGTTTTCTGACTTCTGCCCAATTTAAATGATCTATCTCACTATCTAGCTGAACTCTTGTTATATCACATGGTAGAATAAAAATTGCCTTGAAAGAACTTATGGTGGGAATATGGATGTTAAATGTGATTCTGGTGAGGTCTCATATGGAAATGAGAACTATGCTGTTGGAAACTGTAGGAAAGGTAACTGTTATAAAGTGGCAAATAATTGGGCAAAATGTATTATTGTGTTTAATGGGAAAGTAGAAATTGAGGGTGATGAATTTAGCTATTTAGCAGAGGAGATTTCTAATTGAAGTATTGAAAGTAAAGCTTGGTTTCTCGTTACAGTAAAATGTGAGAAGAAAGAGATAGATTGAAATATCACTGAGCAAAAGAAACCAGAATTTGAAAACTTGGAAAATTCTCAGATTATTCATATTGCAATAAATTAGAGAGTGCATTCTGAAGAGAACACCAGGAGTATGGCTGGACAATTGCTACAAAAAGAAATTACCCATGATTTAAATCAGCCATATAAACAGCACCAGGAATGGATATTGAACTACATCAGCAAAAACACTGCAATTTTGGACTAAAGAGGACAGAGAGGGGATAAAATAAATGTAGGCTTTCAGACTCTTGGGATTCTCAGGACAGGACAATAGAGTTATCTAGCTATGAACATGTCTTACCCATCAGGAAAAGGGAAGGATGCCCCCTAGGGTGATTCAGTGACAAGGCTGTCTCTGCCTCAGTTTCAAAGTGATCTCTTCCTTGGTTTGGGTTGGGCCAGGCTGGCACTGCCCAGTGATTCAGGAATAAACTGCCACTCAGAGCCTTGGAAGCAGGACCAACAGCTATAGCCTTGGAGATGGGGCCACCACCCACTTAGGGGGTAGGATCCATGCCTAAGGCCATGGGGGCAATTTTGCTGCCCCAGTGGGCCCAGAAGAGTATTCTTGAGCCTTAAGATCTAATGGAATTTGTCTTTCTAGGTTTTGAACTTGCTTGGGACCCATTACACTTTCTTCATTCTGATGTTTCCCTTTCAGAAGAAAGTAGCGTCTTTCGGATGCCTGTCTCACCATTGTATTTTGGAAGCATATACCTTGTTGGTTTCATGGGTTCATAGATAAAGAGAAATTATGCAAAAGATGAACCGTCCCTCTGGCATCATCGATATCAGATTTTGATGATATTTAGATTAGACCATGTGTTTATAGTGGATGCTAAAATGCATTAAGACTTGGTGCTTTTGGGGGTGGAGTAAATGTATTTTTCATATGAAAAATACATACATTTCAGGAGTTCAGAAGGCAGAAAGTTATGAACTGAATTGTGTCTCTCCGAAATTTACAACTTAAAGTCAGAACTCTCAATGTGACTTTATTTGAAGATAAGACCGTTGATGAGATAATTATGGTTAAATGAGGTTATAAGGGTTGGGCCCTAATCCAATACTGATATTCTTATAAAAAGCATGGATGCACATGCACACAAAAAAAAGCACACTAAGAGAAGGTGGCCATCTTCAAGCCAATGAGAGAGACTTCACCAGAAACCAACCCTACTGGCACCTTGATCTTGGACTTCTAGCCTCTAGATTATGAGAAAGTAAATTTCTATTGTTTAAGCCACCCAGTCTGTAATATTCTGAGATGAAAACTAATGTAGATTTGGGGTTATTTTATTCTTAGTCTTATAAATCACCATTCTCCCAGTCTTTAGTGCTATGTTTCCAGGTCCTCCTACCCTTATGTTCTCCTTGCTCATTCCTTTACAATCAATCATCTCAAGAGTCCCCTGTAATATGAATATTCCCTTGAATTCTACCATCAGAATTAAATTTTCCCTAATTGCTATCTTCACATATTGCTATTATGGTACCTACCACAATGTGTTGAAATTATTTGTCTTCTGTGTTTACTGATTTAGAACATAAACTTTTTGAGGGAAATGAAAATTATTAATTCATCTCTTCTTTTTACCATATTTTGTTCATAATATACACCTAAAGCAGGCACTCAACACATTTCAAATGAATAGATGATTAAACAAATAAGTGGCTTACATTGAATCAATCCCTATACAGATAAGTAAGCAGCTCTAAATATACTGTTGAAAGAGAAAGAAAAAGGGGAATTTAAAAAAAGAGCTGACTTTAAATGTTTTTTTTTCAAAAATAGGAATAATGGAGTTATTAAAGTGAATTCCAGAGAACATGTGAATTACTTGACTAATACAAGGTTAAAGTTTCTCTAAAGTAATTATCCAACAGAACAAGTTGAAGATTAAACAAATTCTTTGACATAGAAAAATGAGTAATACAAAGATTGTTGGGTGCAGTGCAATTGGAAGTGATCAAAGCAAAGGTCATGTGACTTCAAAAAATTTCATATAAACTAAGAGACACAGCAGAGAGAGAAAAAGCATCAGTTGTTGTTTTTTTTAATTTTCCTCTGATGGCAAGTGAAATGATCTACATTTCCACAGAGGAAAAAAACATGCTGTCTGGTATCACTCAGTGAGATTCCAGGAGTAGAGAGACAAATATAGTCAATATCTGGGACAAAAAATTGTCTCAGGTCTCATCAGACTTTGGCTCCACCTTTTTGTCATCAGTGTGAGAGCAGCAGAGGTTAAGCATCTTAGAAGTAAGAACCCAGAACAAATAAGAAACAGTTGCTTTTCCTGCACATCAAGAGCTATAGCCGTTGTGTCAAGAACATGATAAATTATTTTGAAACACACATCCTCCTTTTCTGGTTTGACTGTCAGGTCCAAGCTGAGTGACTTTGGATAAATCACTTAGCCTCTTTGAAAGTTTTCTGTGTGGAACTTTGGAGAGAAAGCATCACAAAACACATAAGCCACAACATGCTGTGCCTCCTCTATATACTGCTCACTTTAATCTGTGAAAATCTGACCCAAACTGCCTAAAATATCCAGAATGGCATCAGCTCTACTGACAAAAGAGGGTGGGATTCCACCATTTCAGATGGATGATGAAATGGTTCCACAGCCAGAGAATTGAAAGAGAAAAGAGGCCTCTTTTAAGTGTAAACTTTCTCATCTGTAAACTAAAGATTATCATGTCTGCTTTGTTTCTCAATCAAGTTACAAAGAACAAATAAAAAATAAATTCTGAATATAACATTTATAGCAAACTGTAAAATGGGTGTTAATGTCAATTATTGCAATTGTGACTGTTTAATAATAAACTTGTGAAATTTAGAGACATATACATGTAAGTATTAAAGAAGCGTAAATACATAATATTAGCCTTTGTAGACAACTGGATTTTGATCTAGACATATCTGTGTTTAACCACAAGATTCATTACTTAGCTGTATCACATTGGACAACTTACTTTACCTTTCTGAACCTTTATTTTCTCAACTTCTTATGGCATTTTGATATGCAGGTAGTTTTAAGGAATAAGTGTGATAATACATGTAAAAGACATAGCACAGAGCTGATGATATGACAATTTCCTTCTTCCTCTATTGTTCTGATTTGTTGCAATCTAACCTCAGTATGATTTCTAGAGCTATTACTCTTTGTGGTGATATTTTGAGACAATCCACTTTCTTCTATTTGTCTCAGACAGCCAATCATCTGCACTAAATACATACTACTTCCTGTTTCACTAGGTGGCTCTCATGTTGCAAAGTCATTATTTGGAATGCGTGAATGTTTATTAACGATAATTCAGATTGTGCTTCCTTTTCTAAATGGAAGACAAAAATCTGAATATGCTAAATATGATTCTAACCTAGGAGGACTAAGTAACTCTTCTTTCCAGATGATAAATCAGACAGATACATTCCAAGCATCTCTTTATTCATTAGTTTATATAGTCATATATCCGTGGCTTCATTATACATCTAGGGTTTATCCTTTCGTCTGAGTAGTGGATGTTTTAGTGCATGACTGAAATCCACCTCCAAGAGAAAGGCACCAGTTCTCCTAGTAGTTAAAAGTGTCTGCTGACTGCTGATGGGCGAGGATTTCCCCTGTAATTGCTCTTAACAGAATAAAGTGATTCATTCCTAAGAGTTCACTTTTATGGGAAGGAACTCAATTTAACTGAGTGCAGGGGTTCAAGACCTACCTTCCTGGCTCAGTTTGGGACTTTTCTGAAGGGCCATCCAAGTGACAAAAGTGAGCTGCTTCCAGTAAAATTTTCTTTGTTTTATTTTTATTTTTTATAAAAAGGAATATAACTAGTATCTACCTTTTGAAAATATGGGGAATATCATATGAATTAATACATCTAAAGTACTTTAATAGTGCCTAGAAGATAGAAAGTGTTCAAGAAATGTTACCCGAAGATTACTTAATTTAAATTGTTTGATTAAAAGCTGAAGAGGGCACTTTATTAAGCTTATTGTATTTCTGATTGCTTCAAGTACCATTAAGTGATCCAGCTTACCTATTTGTTTAAAGTAAAAAAGTATTTGGAAGAAGGTATTACTTATCAGAAATCTGTTTTTCACTGATAAAGAATATCTTGCAACCATCAGCTTTTGATTCATTTTCAATCATCCTATGTTTCCATGCACGTCCTCCTGTTCAGTCTTCCAAATGATCTCAAAAGTGTTCTTAGTGAAAGGTGACATTTGTAGACCAAATGAGAACTGGCAATGGTCTCTTCAGCATGATCCAGGAGAAACACTGCGTGGTGGCTAAAGGAGCTATGTGGGGGAAATGCACTGTTGTCTATGCTAGAAGCAAGATGAATTCAGATTGAACTCTGGCCTCCTGGGCAGGCCTTGTGAACCTCAGTGGAAATGAGATGAGCTGTCATTTAAAGTTGCTGCCTGTGACCCTGTCTAAATACTTCACTGCTTATATTCCCATTCCTTATTTGAGAAATAAAGACAAAACTTTATTTTATTTTTATTTTTTTTCCCTGAATGGGTTCTCAAAATTTTTACCAAGTTTACATAATTTCTGTAAAATTACAATGTGTTTTATGCATTGTCCTCAATCTTACCCTATTAGGTGGATGCAGATTTCTGGACATGAGGAAAAAAATGTTTTCCAAATAAGGGGAATGGATATTTAATTCATTGTGTAACTAGACAGGAGACAAGTTGCAGTGACTGGCAGAATCTGGCTTTGGGCATCAAAGAATGCAAATAGAGCTAAGAAATGTTAAGGAATGTGGAATGCATGTAGGGGTAACTGTCCTTGGACAAAGAGTCTTTGCCTTCTGGAACACACCACCACTGATCTAGGTGAGTGCTCATGGGTAATTACTGATCAATCAGTCCTGTTTCACATATATTGACTAAAACATTAACCTATAAAAAGGATAATTTCAAAACCTCATGGAGACATCTGGTTAATTAGAACTGTACAGACAGAGACATTTTCCATGTAATTTCTGAAACTGAATACAACATATGTACAGATATGGTCAATTAAGTGTCTAAGACATTATGGGTTAATAATGGGTCCTTTACTGTTGAAATGCTAAAAAACTTGGTTTAAATATTTAATAAATAAATAAACTCATCTTTAAACATAGGGTTGCAAGAGGTATCTTGTTGATTAAGTATATTCCATTATTGTTTAGTAATTATAATATATATTTGATTATCCATAGTTCACATTAATTAATAATATATCAATATTATTTCAAAAATTAAAATAGGTAGATTAGAGAAAAAATAGAACTCAGAGTTTCTGAAATTATAATAATTATATGTAATGAGTTTCCATAGACTGTGATTTATTTTGGAAAAAGGTGCTCTGTGACAGTATAATGGCTAGCACCATTGGCTACTGAACAAGTATTAAAGGAGCAGGATGCAATGTAACACAGATTTCAACTTTGAAAGAAAAATAAAGTATAATTTCTACAGTTTATCTACTAGGAATATGGACTTCTTAATGTACACAGCACTCCAAACTTTCCTCCAAATAGTGACCACTAGAGCAAGAGAGGAGGTATAGTTAAGTAATAATTAGATTTTGAGGGATGACTGTTCAGGATCTATGAGGACTACATCTTAATCTTACTATTAGGTTGGTGTAAAAGTAATTGCAGTTTTTGCAATTTAGTGGCCAAAACCACAATTACTTTTGCACCAACCTAATACTTGCAAGATTTTTGGGTGAGAGAAGAATCCTGTGCCTCTTGTCAGTAGGGTGAAGGCATCCACAGAATTAAGCAGCATGCTATCCATTTCACTGACTCCGTCTGGTCTATATGTCAGCATTCCTTGTGTACCTGATCTTCCTGTTCCTACTGCCTCTGATATTTAGTAGGCGGCTTATTTAATTAATGCTTGACCCTGAAAATGGTCATCTCTGGATGAATCACTCCCCTTTTGTCTTTTGCTAAGCAACAGAAACCTTCTGAATCCCTATTACTTCCTCCATCTGGTGTGCTAGTTCTAGGGAGTCCTTCTCTGGGCTTTGATGGCTCCAAATACACCATCCATACGAAAGAGGAATCCAGGGAGACAGGAGGTTTTAGATATTTTACTTATTTGCTACAAAATGGTTATAATATTTCTCCCTCCCTGTTTAGTGGTGAACATTAAATAATAAACATATTTCAACTAAAAGTACTTAGCATTGTACTTTTTTATAGATAAAAGTAATTAAATATATAATAATAATATAATGAAAAGGGTCACTTCTTTACATACAATTGCAAAAAGAAGAAAAAACCAGATGCGAATGGGCATGGGAAAATCTGAGTTCACTTTATCTCTTTCACTCTATGTGCCCTTCAACCATTTTTTATCTCTCTGCAGCCTCACCTTCCTTTAATATTGACTCCAGTAAGTTCTCCCTGAAACACTGATATCTATTTAAGTTGAAGAAAGGCCAATACATGGAGAATTTCTGCCAGGCAAGGTTTTAACAGCTTCCTAATTGCTCAATAAGACAATAGCAGCAACAATAGAATAATAATAGCAATGACAAAAAAAAGCTTAATTAAGAAATAACTTGTCGTTGGTTCTGTTTATATGCTGGATTATGTTTATTGATTTGCGTATGTTGAACCAGCCTTGCATCCCAGGGATGAAGCCCACTTGATCATGGTGGATAAGCTTTTTGATGCAGAAAAGGCCTTTGACAAAATTCAACAACTCTTCATGCTAAAAACTCGCAATAAATTAGGTATTGATGGGACGTATCTCAAAATAAGAAGAGCTATCTATGACAAACCCACAGCCAATATCATACTGAATGGGCAAAAACTGGAAGCATTCCCTTTGAAACCTGGCACAAGACAGGGATGCCCTCTCTCACCACTCCTATTCAACATAGTGTTGGAAGTTCTGGCCGGGGCAATCAGGTAGGAGAAGGAAATAAAGGGTATTCAATTAGGAAAAGAGGAAGTCAAATTGCCCCTGTTTGCAGATGACATGATTGTATATCTAGAAAACCCCATTGTCTCAGCCCAAAATCTCCTTAAGCTGATAGGCAACTTCAGCAACATCTCAGGATACAAAATCAATGTGCAAAAATCACAAGCATTCTTCTACACCAGTAACAGACAGAGAGCCAAATCATGGGTGAACTCCCATTCACAATTGCTTCAAAGAGAATAAAATACCTAGGAATCCAACTTACAAGGGATGTGAAGGACCTTTTCAAAGAGAACTACAAACCACTGCTCAATGAAATAAAAGAGGATACAAATGGAAGAACATTCCATGCTCATGGGTAGGAAGAATCAATATCATGAAAATGGCCATAGTGCCCAAGGTAATTTATAGATTCGATGACATCCCCATCAAGCTACCAATGACTTTCTTCACAGAATTGGAAAAAAACACTTTAAAGTTCATATGGAACCAAAAAAGAGCGTGCATTGCAAAGTCAATCCTAAGCCAAAACAACAAAGCTGGAGGCATCATGCTACCTGACTTCAAACTATACTACAAGGCTACAGTAACCAAAACAGCATGGTACTGGTACCAAAACAGAGATATAGACCAATGGAACAGAACAGAGCCGTCAGAAATAATGCCACATATCTACAAACATCTGATCTTTGACAAACCTGAGAAAAACAAGCAATGGGGAAAGGATTCCCTATTTAATAAATGGTGCTGGGAAAACTGGCTAGCCATATGTAGAAAGCTGAAACTGGATCCCTTCCTTACACCTTATACAAAAATTAATTCAAGATGGATTAAAGACTTACATGTTAGACCTGAAAACATAAAAACCCTAGAAGAAAACCTAGGCAATACCATTCAGGACATAGGCATGGGTAAGGACTTCATGTCTAAAACACCAAAAGCAATGGCAACAAAAGCCAAAATTGACAAATGGGATCTAATTAAACTAAAGAGCTTCTGCACAGCAAAAGAAACTACCATCAGAGTGAACAGGCAACCTACAGAATGGGAGAAAATTTTTGCAATCTACTCATCTGACAAAGGGCTAATATCCAGAATCTACAATGAACTCCAACAAATTTACAAGAAAAAAACAACCCCATCAAAAAGTGGGCAAAGGATATGAACAGACACTTCTCAAAAGAAGACATTTATGCAGCCAAAAGACACATGAAAAAATGCTCATCATCACTGGCCATCAGAGAAATGCAAATCAAAACCACAATGAGATACCATCTCACACCAGTTAGAATGGTGATCATTAAAAAGTCAGGAAACAACAGGTGCTGGAGAGGATGTGGAGAAATAGAAACACTTTTACATTGTTGGTAGGACTGTAAACTAGTTCAACCATTGTGGAAGTCAGTGTGGCGATTCCCCAGGGATCTAGAACTAGAAAAACCATTTGACCCAATAATCCCATTACTGAGTATATACCCAAAGGATTACAAATCATGCTGCTATAAAGACACATGCACATGTATGTTTATTGCAGCACTATTCACAATAGCAAAGACTTGGAACCAAGCCAAATGTCCAACAGTGATAGACTGGATTAAGAAAATGTGGCCCATATACACCATGGAGTACTATGCAGCCATAAAAATGATGAGTTCATGTACTTTATAGAGACATGGATGAAGCTGGAAACCATTATTCTCAGCAAACTATCGCAAGGACAAAAAACCAAACACAGCATGTTCTCACTCATAGGTGGGAATTGAACAATGAGAACACATGGACACAGGAAGGGGAACATCACACACTGGGGACTGTTGTGGGGTGGGAGGAGGGGGGAGGGATAGCATTTGGAGATATACCTAATGTTAAATGACAAGTTACTGGGTTCAGCACACCAACATGGCACATGTATACATATGTAACTAACCTGCACGTTGTGCACATGTACCCTAAAACTTAAAGTATAATAAAAAAAAGAAATAACTCATACAGATTATGGTACAAGACGCTGGTAACAACATTCTACTTCATTCTTAATCATCCTGCAGTTCAGTCGTAATCATCCTCCAGGTAATTTTTATGATATCATCTGAGCTAGAAGTTATATCCATCATGAAACAGTAATTTACTGCAACTTTTAAATCTTCACCAAAGGCCATTCCAAAGACCAGAAGCCAAAACTATCCCTACAAGTATTACTGAGACACAGGGCAGAGTACAAGCCCTGCCATTCACATTTTCTTGAGATTTAGGTAACTCATTTCCTTTCTTTCTGCCCTGAAGTCCAAATCTAATTTGAACTAGAAACAGATAATTTAAAAAGTCCCTCCAAGTTTCAAAATACTGACTAAAAAAAACACTTTTAATTTCAACATTAAAAATAAATACATAAAACAGGAATATGAATGTTGGTACCTTATATATTCAAATAAATGTGTTGATAATGGATATATTATGGGCCTTAATTCAAGGATACCATGAAAACAGATCTTTTTACTCCAGGAACTAATAAACTGTGATGTAAAACAATGGATTGGATTTTGGTTAATTAGAACTAACAGCTGACTAAATAATGTCAATTGTTGTGTCTGATGTTGGTTAGGATTTCCACTAAGGCATTACTTGTCTGTGAATAAATAAATCTGTTAGTTCCTTGCTAACTAGGGCATGTTTGGTGTTGTGCTGAGTTTGGTGGGGATACACAAATTTATATAATAGGTTGGCTACCTCTAGAAGCATTCAATGAAGGTTACCAGTTAATAATATTAGATTGGAATCTTAATCCCATCTCTTACTTGTTATATAATTAACTTCTAAAACTTAGTATTTCAGAAATAGGGAGTGGATACTAGTAGGATTTAATAAACTATTGTATTGAATGTTCTTTTAGAGTGGTACATTGAGTCATACCTAGTGAATCATAACAAATACTAGTCATCATCATTATTGTTGTTAATTTTCTGGTTTGAAATAATACATTTTTTTAGAACTTGAGATGTTTCCCTTCACACATGTATTTTGTTTGACTTTCAAATGAATTATCTGAGAAAAACTTTGTTATTTCATTGTAAACATGATGAATTCACAAAAAGAAAGGCATCTGTGATCACTTAGGTGGAAAGTGGCAAGGCGAGTACTACAACCTGGGTCTAAGATGCTATTTTCTGTTTCACTCTGTTTTAGTCCATTTGGACAGCTATATAAAAACAAATGAACAAACAACAACAACAACACCAAAAACCTTATACTGAGTAACTTATAAACATCAGAAATTCACTTACAGTTCTAGAGGCTGGGAAATCCAAGATCAAGGCTCCAGCAGATTTGCTGTCTGGTGAGCACCTGTTACTCATGGATGGCACGTTCTTGCTGTTTCCTCACATGCTGGAAGAGGCCAAAAGTGGACGCTCCCTTCAGTGTCATTTTTAAGAGCGCTAAACCCATCCATGAGGCTGAATGCCTCATGACTTAATCATTTCCTAATGTCTCCACCTCTTAATAGTATCATATTGGGCATTAGATTCCAACATATAAATTTTTGGAGGACACCAACATTCAGGTCATAGTACATAGCATGTCATTTCTCAACTGTAATTGAAAGGATATGCCTCTCCACCATATATGCTTTTTGAGATTGTCTAACTTAGTCAAAACATTGCCTATAGCTATCCTTCAAAAGCCTCTTAAACGACCTTCCTGCATCAGCACCTGTTCTACTTAATCTTTTTCCTGAGCACTAAGCAAGAAGGCAGTGGTGTGTTTGTGTAGCATCAAATGAAGAACAGAACAATGAGGTTTCTAAAGACTGCAGAGGTCACTGTGCATTGGGATGCTTGGGGGTGGCTCTGAGAGGGTGGAAGGCTGAACTATAGTTTAAATAACAAGAGAAGTTCTAACACAAAATATATTATGCTATTAGACTTTAAAGTCTCAGGGGAAATTAGGCAGGTGGATCACCTCAGCTCAGAAGTTTGAGACTAGCCTGGGCAACATGGCAAAACCCCGTCTCTACTAAAAATGCAAAAATTAGCCAGGCCTAGTGGCAGGCACCTGTAATCCCAGCTCTTTAATGTATGTGCAATTACTCTTTCAACTGTTAAGACTGTACAGACATTCAATATTTAACACCTATCCATTATTTGTTGAGTACCTATTATGTTCACAGCCCCTATTCTGGGTTCTAAAATTAGACAGCAAGTAAAGTATACTAGATTTTTTCCTATCATGGAGCTTCTCTTCTAGATCGGAGAATCTGAAAATAAATAGGGAAACAAGTAAGTAAAAGAGAAGATTCATAGTCTGATGAGTACAATTAAAAAAAATAAACTGTGGTGATGTGATTAAAAGTGAGCTCAAGGTCAGGGAATTTGGGAAGCATGGTGTCTCTCGACTGAATTGTCACCAATTCAGTCTGATGGCCAGACATGGCAGTCTCTAGGAAGAGTGTGACAGGCATCAACACACACACACACACACACACACACACACACACACACACACACCACAAAGTGCACAGAGGACTCAGAGAGCTGAAATAGGTTTGGAAGGGTCAAGAGTGAGGTCAGCTAACTACATGCTGGGGGAGAAGGAGATTAGAAGAGAAAAAGTGAGAGAGAGAGCAAAAGATAGGTTCGACCTTTGCATAGAAGTGAAAGTAGTATTTCTCAAACTATGCGCAGTAAAGGGCAAGTGGTTTTCTGTTTTGTTTTGTAATTTCCAATTTAACGTTAGTCTGATAATCTTGCAAAACCCAATAAAATTAAAATAAAACTAGAGTAGTAGTGAGAAATTCTCACAAAATTCATTCCATACTCACATTTATCTTATTATGGACTAGTAATAAGATGTTCACAAACCAGAGCAGGTCTACCTACAGCAATTTACATACCTCTGATTGAGAAGATTTGAAGCAGAGTGTTAATATACTATATAAATATAATAAATATGTATGTATGTAAATGTTTGCGTGCTATATGTTTGTGTGTTTATAAAATCACTGCTGGATCTTACAGGCTAAAGTGATGAGAAATTGAATCCCTATCATTGGCTAGTTGCAGAATTAATCACTTCCATGCCCAGGGATCTCAGAAGAAAGCAGTTTACATTAAAGTTTGTCTGAGTTTTATAGTTGAGTAATAATTTTTAGAAAACCATAAAGCTGATGTCAGAGAAAACAATACTCCTGCCCAGTTGGAGTCTCAACACTCATATTCACTTGTGGGTCTAAGCCCAAACTCTTATTTGTAAATTAATTTATTTAAAATCTGTTCACAAAAAGTGAACAAATTTTAGTTCAAAAGCCTCTTCTGCTTTTGGCTACTAAATTGTAGAAGACATTCAAGATAGAAAAAGGCATGTGAGTAGCTGATCCCAGACCATGTGAATTTGTTTTGCTAATTACAGTTAAAACATGACACAGGAGCCCCATTAGGAATGTTTATATTATTCTCATTGCACGTTGCAGAGAAAGAATCTAAAATTCATAAATATTAAGCAGAATATCCAAGAGCTTGCATAACATTGCAGAACTGAATTTTCAGAAGTTCAAGATCATAATATATACATCTTATTATATATACATTTTATTCCCCTGTGAAACAATAAACTCCTTGAGAACAGTAGTGACTCCAACAATGTTTCACTTGCTGAATTAGTGCAAATTTAACACATAAAGAAATGTTCTTCAGGGCAAAAACTTCAAAGAACTTTTCCAAATTAACTTTTCTCTATAAGCACTGGATTAAGTGATTTTTGCATTTCTAACCTGTAGAAGCCAACAACACACACCCCCATCCCCACCACTGCCACACACACACACCCACACACATGCGTATACCATGTATGATCTGGTGGTGCAAAGAATAGAGCCTACTATTAATTTAAGATTTAATGGTACAGACCCGTTTTTGAGATGAAGGAATCATTTTTTTTTACTCAGTTTTGCAAAGAACTGGATTTTAAAAATTTCATTGAGGATAACTCCTTATATTTATTTAAAAGAATTTTTCCCACACTGAAATATGAAACACATTTCTTTTTACCACTCTCTTCCCACTCATTTCAACATGTACCCCTTATGTTTCTCCAATGAAGAAAATAATGAGAGATTTTAAATTCAAGTCCAGTTGTCATATGTTTTCTATAATTTTCAGGTGTATTTCATATGGCATCATAATCTTTTGCAGTGTTAGTTTAAGAAATGAAAAATAATTGTTTAAAAAGATATAAGGAAAGTGATCCAGATTTGGAAGAATGAAACAATACATTTATTTTGTGTAAAATAAGAAATTAAATGATCAACACCGATTCAATATATGAGGTACTTTTCCTGCACTTTCAGAGGCCGAGGCGGGCAGATCACGAGGTCAGGAGTTTGAGACCAGCCTGGTCAACATGGTGAAACCCTATCTCTACTAAAAATACAAAAATTAGCCAAGCATGGTGGTGCGTGTCTGTAGTCCCAGCTACTCGGGAGGCTGAGGCAGGAGAATTGCTTGAACCCAGGAGGCAGAGGTTGCAGTGAGCCAAGATCGCGCCGTTGCACTCCAGCCTGGGCGACAAGAGCATGGTTCCGTCAAAAAAAAAAAAAAAAAAAAGCCACGATTTCATTTTCATTATACTCTAACAGCATGTACAGTTTTATCTAAAAACCTGTTAGCTCGCATTTATTTGCTCAAAAAAAAAACCAGAATATGAAATTAAGAATTCTGCTTAATGAGAGAGAAGCTTTTACCAAACGTGATGACATGAAATTATGAATTGGTCTTATTTATCTATTTTGAATTCCATATTTTGTTTCATTATGATAGGTATGAGCGAAAATTTTAAATATCCCGTATTTACAGAGTATTTTATGCATTTTAATTTTTTTCATACACATATTTATATAAATACATACATTTAATGTCCAGATCAATTTAGGATGTAAGAATTATTACCCCTACTCAGTCAAACACATTTCTTTTATTTCACTTTTTTAACACTTTCACACATAATGCTTTATTTTGAATATACTAAATGCGAATTCATCATGTAATCATTACAAAATCTTGATGCTTATTATCTTTGTTATATTTATAGAAGGTTCATACCAATGTATAATTATGAAAGCCTAAAAATGAGTTATTTTTAAAATAAAATGTTAAAACATCATAATCAAGAAATTAGAATCAAATAATGTACACATAATAAAGAATACTCATTTTTGATTTTTAAAAACATCCCTGAAGCACTAAGAGGTTAGTTATGTCCAAATTCTTCCACCCAGAAAAAGGCAAAATTGAGAATAAATTGGTTTGTTTTTGGTCTTGCTAGTTAGTTATTTCTAACCCAAATATCCCATAGTATTACTTATTTGGTTTAAAAAAAGTTGACTTCATTCCCTTTATATTTTACTTTTGGTTGCTCAAATACATAAAATTTTTAATGACGCCACTATTTTGTAAGTAATAAACCAAGCATGTGCCACTCAGATTTCTCAAAGAAAATCACTTTCTAAGTGATATTAAAAACTGCGTAGCTTTAATAAGGAATCTGGAAAAAATAATACTTAAAGATTATACATGATATCCTCAGATCTCACATGCCCCATTTAGCTTTTCAAATACTAGAACTGTTGAAATCTTAATAAAAGTTGATTTTATTAATTAAGAGCATTCAAGCCATCAAGAAGATGAAGATGTATTGATTAAAATATGTGTACAATGTTTTACTTGCGTTGGACTTCCCCCATGGAACAATGTTATAAATGACAAGGAAATGCAAACAAAATTATGAGGACACTCTTAATATGACTAATGAATAATTAAAATGAGTAGTAAGGAAGACAAAAAGCATATAGCATACAAGTTACATCTTAGTGCTCTAAACCAAGGGCTTATTCAGTTAACATCTCCTCTTGTCAAATAATGCTAAATCATACTTCATATTAAAACTAAGAATACCAGAAAATGTTTAAGACTATAGAAGTATGACTAATTGTTGTTATCAAATGTGGCTTGTGTATTCTTCTCGAAACCCTTCATTTTACATTGGGTATGCAGGTCTTTCTCCCAAATGCGTTCCATGCTTAGCTAAGATGTACAACCTGTCTTTAAATCAGTGGTTCTTCTCCATTTGCCATGATGCCCCAATCTCTGTCAATGACTGGCTCTATTTTCTACCTTAGGAGAAGACGTGTCTCTAATATATTTTTGACGACCTTATTGTTGTTGTTGTTTTTTATTTCTTCATTTATTTTTCATTAGACTTAAGGAACATACTAAGCATCAATTTTTATTTTGTGTTTTGGGAACGTTCTTTATACTCTGTGAATATGCTTCCTATTCTAGAAGATACCCTAGATCTCAAAGGACCCCACAGTCAGATTTCTTAAAGATACATATCAGTAAAGATCATATATTGTAAATCTGAACCTATTCAAAGAAAAAACTGTATAACAAAATCAAAGCAGATACTAAAAATACCATGATAGCTGTACCAGACTGGTTAAGAGTGAAAGTTTTGTTTAAATCCCAGCTCAGCCATTTAATAACATTGAATACTATAACTTTCAGCCAGGCGCAGTGGCTCATGCCTGTAATCCCAGTACTTTGGGAGTTCAAGGCGGGTGGATCACTTGCGGTCAGGAGTTTGAGACGAGCCTGATCAATGTGGTGAAACCCGTCTCTACTAAAAAAATACAAAATTAGCTGGGTGTGTTGGCGCACACCTGTAATCCCAACTACTTGGGAGTCTGAGGCAGGAGAATCACTTGAACCCGGGAGGCGGAGGTTGCAGTGAGTCGAGATCGCACCATTGCACTCCATCCTGGGCAACAACAGCGAAACTCCGTCTCAAAAACAAAACAATCAAACAAAACTATAACTTTCAAAAAGTTATATAATTTATATTTCATGACCTCCAAAATAAAATTGTTAATAACTAGCTAAGGAAGGCTTGTTAGGCAGTCTAAACTCCCACCTTCATTGAGACACTAGTACTGGATGTTGACAAAGAAATAATCCTGCTAAATGTGTTAATACATATAAATCATTTTAGCTAGTACTTACATGCTATCTACCCAATAATACATATAAATCATTTAGATAGTACTTACATGCTATCTGCCCAATAATTGTTGGTCATTATTGGCACTGGTAGTAGCAATAGGAATAGAAGCAGTTGTGCTAGCATTACTAGTATAATAGTAGTATTAGTTATGATGCTACATCTATAATACTCTATGCTAGCAACATAGTGAATGTTGAATGAATAAATGAATCAATAGATGAGGAGATGAATATTTTTCAGGAACAAATAATATATATGATAATGGAGAAGCAAACAATTTATATAAACTCTCATTTCAAAGTAGTTGGATTATACAACCTAAAGCAACTTAACAGGTTGTATGGTTCAATTCCCTCACCTATGAACAAAACCACTGGGTACAAGAGACCTAATATTCTGTCCAAAGTCACATAGCTTATGGCAGAATAAAGTTTCTTGGATTCAATTATGTGATAAGCCAAACACTCCAGGATGTATAATGCATTTCTCTTATAATCGTGAAAATATTTTGTAATATAAATATAAATTTGAAACATATCTTATGCTTTTATGTATATTATAGTAATAGTAGTATATATGGTATAGTAATATATATATATAACTCACTATGAGATTCTGTTTAAACTCCTGTAATATAATATTCATAAAAGAAAGATTAGTATATGTCTGTTATCATACTATGTTGCCAGAGATTATAAAGTTTGCTTCAAA
The DNA here is from genome assembly GCF_000001405.40 of Homo sapiens. NCBI lineage: Eukaryota > Metazoa > Chordata > Mammalia > Primates > Hominidae > Homo > Homo sapiens. The sequence goes on along the minus strand of NC_000016.10, from coordinate 63,474,396 downwards.
AAGCAATAGTTGTTTTTATGAAACTTTATGTAGTTGAGAAAAAATGAATAAAATATTGAAAAAAGGTCAGTTTTATATTTATGCATACATTGTTCCTATCCCAAACTCATATGCATATTTCCTTTTAGTGAACCCATAAATATAGGACAACTGCTGATGAGTATTTTGCAAAATCTTGTTTTAAGCTGATGATCAATAACTCCCTGATAATTGGAAGTCTTTTTGATCCAAGGAGCAAAATTAACCGTTGGAATTATCTTACTGGTTAAGCTTATATTCTTATAAACAGGCATCTGATAAAAAGTAGAGAAATGTTTTGATGGTACTGGCAGAGAAGGAATCCTCTGTTCTGTTTTCTCTTGCTCCTTATCTCCAATTCTTTTTAAGAGGAATGCATTAGGCTCAAGCTTAGCTACCCAAATTCCTTGATTCATTAATTATTTCATTCACTCATTCCATAAATTCTCATTGAATGACTTCTCTGTAAAGCACTGTGAATGTGACTGCTAATAAAAAAGTCTCATGTAATTGTAAATTCCAGTCCTTATGGAATTTACAATTAAATGGATCAAATAGATGAGCATCTAATCATTGAGGGTGATCAATAAATGTCATCACAGTAGTAAGTGTACTTTGACAGCTCATAGAAAAGACACCTAACCCAGATATAGGGGACCATGGAATGCTTCCTGAAGAAAATGCCTTCAAAGCGGATACTTGGAGTAGAATGAGCTAAATAAAGGGTATCTTGGGCAGAAGGATCAGCATGGGGTAAAGTCTAAGAGCAGACAGAACACACAATTTTAGAGCTGAAAGGAGGTAACAGTAAGATGTGGGGAACTATGAGAGGTATGGCTAGAGAGATAAGTAGGCATTCAGTGAAAAAAATGTTCTAAGATGTAATAAGGTAGTAAATTGATTTTGAAGCTAACAAGGAGTTTTAGAAAGAAACTAAGTAGAGGAATAGTGTAATTTGATTTGTCAAAAAGTGATCTCAGTAGGTACTCTCAGAAGGAGTGAATTCAATGGATTACAATCACTATGATGCTTCCTGCTTGCCCCAGATTTTAGGGACTATCTTGGAAACGTACATAGATTTTTTTTTTCTTAACTTTTGGCTATTCTGTTAGAAACAGTCAGCATGCCAGTGATTAATAAATAAAGCCCAAGTCATTGAAGCTACCTCCCTCCAGCTCTTCGTGCTTTTAATTTTGTTAGTATGCCTTGAATGTAGACTCATCCTTGGAACTTGTTTCCCTGCATTTCAACTATAGACATTTTTTGTAAATTTTCCAGAGCCAAACTGAGACCCTTTTAGTACATGACTGGTCTTGTCTTTAAGGCTTGGCTTCCAGGGATTTTGAAATAATATCTGTCTTAAAAAATCAATTAGCCAATCATCTATATGGCTAACTATTCCTAACTGTACTTAACACACAAGAAAACCTTTATTAGTACATACTAGGTGCTCATCAAATAATTAATGAATAAGTAATAGTACTTGAAAATAATGGTAGCACAAGAATCACAGAAGCCCAGAACCTTAAAGAGCAGAAACCTAAAGCTCCCTTTATCTGTGATACTAAGTTCTGCAGTTCCAATTATATAACATTTTCTTCAGTGACCAGAAAATTTTTTAAATTGTCTTCTATATTTAGATTTTCACTAGTCCTTACATTCTGCCTCTCTTTCTTCATGAATTCTTCATGTATTATAAATGAAATGCTATAAATATATTCCGTAACAATTTTTTCTAGCTTGGAATTTGATCAGAAGAACACTTTACTTTTGTTTTGATGTAGTTGATGTTTGTTTTTGTTTGTGTTTGGCATATGACTTTAATGTTAGTATAATTTTCATGGATTCTATGAATTGTAATATTGTATGCTTAAATAGGCCTTTTATATCCATTCTAGCCAATGATTCCCTCCGTGGTGCAATCGAACTTTACAACAAGCATTCAAAAGCTAACATATAGATGTTCAAATATTTAAAAGAAACCATAAATATAATCAGTATAGAGTTCACCAATACAAATATCACCTGAGTTAATCTCTGCTACAAGTCTGATCACAATAGTTCTCCTGTCATTGTTTAGATGCTAACATAATATTTATATCCATTTTTGTTTATTTAACATGGGAAAACATGACTTTATATTTCATTGAAAGTGAAATTTGGTTGAGAAAATCTTACAAAATTTGATGTTTCTAAAATAAAAACAAAACGTCTCCCAAGTGATGAAAATATCTGAAATCACTCAGCCATTGAATTCTTTATCCCTTTCTGCCACTAGCAGTATCCTCTCTATTTTTTAAAAAAGTGTTTTGATTATGTCTTATATGTATTCAAATTCTGAAATAGACAGTTACAAAAAGAAAATATAAATTTTCTGTAGTCTTGCCAGTAAGAGATAATTTTCAGAGTATTATTTGTTTAAATCTGGTATAAATATTTTACTACTCTGTTAATACCATCCTAAGGATCTCACACTGTAAATTGTGTTTTAAATATCTTGACTTGGAATCAAAGTCTTTGGAAATCTGTAGCCTGTCTACCATTGTAGCTTCATGGATGTCTCTCTTCCCCAGGACCCTGTGGTCCATCCAAGCTGAATTAAAAGCAATTCCTGAATCCCACTTTGCTTTCTCCTGTTTCCTTGCCTTTGCATACTTGTATACCTTTGAATTATGACTCTCCATCCCCTTCTCCTTCATCAGCTAAGTTCCTATATTTTTTAGCATAATTTTTATCTCTTCTACTTAAGTCTTCCCTCAAACTGCCTGGGTTTTCACAACATTGTCTTCATGACTGTGTTATATGACATAATTCTCTCTAGTACCTTATTCAGCTGTCCTTATAATTAAAATTACATTGAACTCCCATAGGGCTAGGAATTGAGGATTATATAGCAAAATCCCCGGCAACTTTTATATTACCTGCATAGAATGGATGCTATGAGGTAATCGCCATGAGTATATTTTAGTTCATAGCTAGGATGATGAATTCTGTTACTAACTTCCAAAATGGCTGCCACTGTTTCTGATACTGACCAAAGACAGGCTTTTCCTTAAGTGACCCTACAAAATGAAATGTAGTACATATAATCTCCATCCAATCTCATTCTTTTAATATAAAATTGATGTTTAACATAATACTAAGGAGCATATCATGTCACTTTCTGCCACATATATAAACAGTGAGATTACTACAATGGTATAGCTCTCCCACTATCTGGAAGTAATATTAGACAATTAATTTTGGAAATCAAAATTTCCACTGGGACAAAACACAACAAAAAGCTTGGAGAAGAAAACGTTATTTTAGTTGGACTAAAATTACAGCCAAGAGTAGGAAAAACTTCTAAACTACAGACTAATCTAAGATTATTTTTTCAGCATAATGCAGAAAGGTGTAGCATTAAAATTTTAGAAATAAGTAAGTAAATAAGTAAACACATAAAACCACACATCTTTGTGTGTTTTTAAAACGTTTTCTTGTAATGCACTTTCTTATGTGCCTGCTCTTATTATTAGATTAGGGAAAAGAGAAGATAATTAAATATTTTATTCTTTATGATAGACACAAATGTGCAGTGGGAGGCTAAATGTATGGTATCTACCACATACTTTATCTCCACACGTACACATTTATTTAAACTATAAACATTTTGTTTACCGAAAAATATTTTAGAAAGACAGCCTCCTCAGAGAATAATATCTAGAAAAACATTTACCATCTATTCAAACTAGAGATTCATCCATTGAAAAAAAATTGTAATTTTAAGGATTTTAGAGAAACAGGTAAACAAGCAGTTTTCCAACACTATTTGGTAGGTTGGTAGATTATAACAATGGAACACATTTTTCTTTTTTTTGTTTGTTTTTTTAACTTTTATTTTCTGTTCAGGGGTACAGGTGCAGGTTTGTTATATAGGTAAACTTCTGTCATGGGGGTTTGTTGTACAGATTATTTTGTCACCCAGGTATGAAGCCTAGCACCCATTAATTATTTTTACTCATCCTCTCCCTCCTCCCACCCTCCACCTTCTGATAGACCCCAGTGTGTGTTGTGGAATCCATTTTTCAAATAAAATTTTTGCTAGAGTTCAAGATGCAAAAATGATCAATGCCCAGCTGCATTGGAGTGTGAGCATGATGCCAATTACAGTGTGAGTGTGACACCATATCATTTCAGACTATGTGTTATTTACCTGTGCATTTATATCCTCTATTTCTTCAAGTCAGGGAAGAGATCATGTCTCTACATTTGGGAATGTAATTTCGTGTAGTAAACGTTGCAGTTAAACTGAACAATATTTATTTCATAGCTCCTTGCATTTTAGCTGGAGTTTGAACATTTGATTTCTGAGGGCTCTGCTTGATCATTATGAAATGACAAAAATAAATCTAACTTAAAGGAAGAAGTGGAAGTAGCCCTGAGGATAAGTCATGTAAAGTGGGACATAATTAGGCAGTCAATATTGTGGTAATTTTTTTTTCTTTTTCTCCACTATGACAATATGTATTTTATTTGTTTTTTAGCTTTATTTGATCATTATACAGTATATACATGGATCCAAACATCACACTGTATCGCAGTGTATCCTACTGGAGTATGAATATACATATACATTAGGTCAGGGAAAAGAAGAGATACTTAGGGAAAAAAGAAGATAATATCCTAGTAGATACAGTGTGATTTTTGATCCATCTATATATTGTGTTATGTTCAAATCAGGGTATTTAACATATCTATCATCTCAAACATTGATTTTTTCTTTGTGGTGAGAACATTCAAAATTCTCTCTTACTGCTGTTTTGAAATATGCATACAGAATTGTCAATTACAATCACCCTACTTTGCGAAAGAGCATGAGAACTTATTCCTCCTACTATAACTTCGTATCCTTGGAAAACCTCTCCTTCACTCTCCTCAACCCTCAATCTCTCTCTTATCCCCAACCTCTGATAACTATTCTATTCACTACTTCTATGAGATGAACATTTTTAGATTCTACATATTAGTGAGATCATGTGGTATTAATCCTCTGTGCTTGGCTTATTTCAGTTAATGTCTGCTAGGTTCATCTACATTGTCACACATGGAAAGATTTTATTCTTGTTTATTGCTGAATATTATTCCATTGTGTATGTATACTCCTTTATTTTTATCCATTCATCCATTGATGGAAACAGGTTGATGGCCTATCTTGGCTATTTTAAATAGACCTGCAACAAACATAGGAGTGTAGATAGATCTTTGACATATTAATTGTATTTTCCTTTGGAAATATACTCAATAGTGTTTACTTCAAAAATTTTGAGGAGCCTCCATATTGTTGTGCATAATGGCTATACTAATTTACATTCCCACCAACAGTGTGTGTAAGAGTTCCCGTTTCTCCATATCCCCTCAAGCAATGAAGGTATTGTTAAAATAAGAATAAAAGTTTATAATATACTTTGTCAGTGTATAACGTATCTTGAAAATGCCTGTAGTTGCCTTTAAAAAATGGATTTTTCCAGGGAAATCATATTTTTGTTAACTTACAGAAAACCCTACTTAAATAAATCTACAAAGATTTAGAAAGGCTGAAATCCTAGTGAGAAAACTTAGTAGAGAATAGTAATTCCTAAAGAAAATCAATAGGTGAAAGACTAAAAAATAATACGTGTGTGATATCATGTAAGTGTACATATATATGCATTCATATATACAGATGTACATATATAAATATGTGTGTGTGTGTGTAGCTCGGTGAGAAAGAGTGTATGTATACCTAGCACCTGCCATATTGGTACTTGATATGCAGAACCTCAATCATGGATTTCTCATGGCAGATCTTACAATAATTAATAATCATCTCTACTTCTTTGTGTAGTACATCTTCAATTGCTTCTGAACAGCATTTTTAAAAATCTGTCTCCCACAATGCTTTCTGGGTAGTATATTAAATATATGTTAGACGCATTTTTCACATTTAATCTTGAGAGAAACTAGCAAAATGAGAAATCAAGTAAAGACTACAATTATTGTTCATGAACTTTTGATAATATTGTCTGGAAATGTCTGTTCACATTCATATATGAGCAGAAGCCTTCAGGAAAATGGAGACATATTTTTCTTCCATTTAAAGATTGTATTATTTAACATCTATTTCTAAGGTCTTATTTAAAATGACAGCATTTCAAAGGGCATTCTTGTCTGATGTGATGGTAATTTCCTGAGTTGAAAAGCCATTTGTTTCAACAATTATTTATGGAGAAACGCTTTCATAGAATCAGATTGTACAAAGGGTGTGTTTACTGGTAGAACATATAAAGATAACTTTACTCTGAAATGAACAAAATTTGCATTTCTCTGTGATGAACAAATGGACAAAACTATCCCCTAATGTAGAAGATGATGAGATGCAAATAGAAAGAACAATTTTATGTTCTTATGATATAGTGCTTTACTTTCAAACACAGTATCACATCTGAATCTCTTAGAGGCATGCATAGTAGTTAGAGCAGGGCTTTCCACATAGGTTTAAGATTCTTCTACATGATATTACAACTGCTCATCCAAACCTAACACAGCTAACTTTATCATGCCCTATGCCAACGTTCAACCTAATTTCAAACCACTTGCTCACTGCTTAGGTATCATCTGAGGGCAGGAGAAAAATAATATGGGTCAAATGTGCTATTTCCAGGTCAGAACTTATCTCAATGCATTATGATGACTCACTGCTGCTACCACTGCCCAAATATAATTCCTTCATTCTCAATTGTCATAAATGTGACGGATTGTGCTAAAAAATGAAATTAACTACATAAATTATAAAGGCAATATTAAAACAATTCATTCTGTGAAAGTTTGAAATTAATAACAAAATTTTATAGAACAAATTTATACTACTTATTTTGGCCAACTTTATGCTAAATGCCATGCCAAGAAAAGATTTTTCACCTCCTTGACAAATTATATTGCCTAATTTGTTATATCTCTACTTTGCTCTTTATTGTAGTTATCTTGTTTGTGTTAACCATAATTTGCCTCACATTGTTATTTATTCTTTAATTGATTTTCTTTTCTATATAAATGTATAAATCTTAAGATATTCCATAAAAAGAACTACAGCAAGAAAATATGCATCTATAGCAGCAATAATAACTGAAATTACAGAGTTGCATTGTCTCATACCTAAAAAAATAGTTATTTCAAAATGTCACCCAATATTGGTGATGTGACAGACTGGTACATTCATTTACTGGCTGTAGCATTTAAACTATTACATTCCTTTGTAAAGCAATATTGTAGTTTGTAGCAAGAACTATAATGATGTTTCTAACCATCCATCAAGTTATTTCACTATTTTCATTTATCTTAAATATATATTTCAACAGAAGCAGAAACTACATTAATGAATTGCTTCATGCAGCATTATGAATAATACAAGAAAAAAGACAATAATCTAAATTATTCCATAAAGAAAGAATTATTTAATAAATACCATCTGTCAAAATACTAGAAAACATTTCATTCATCATAGAAAGATGACTGCTAATTCTGGAGATCGATAGTTGAACTGGATTGTGTCAAAGAAAATCAGTGTTGGACAGAAGTTAAAGTGGAGTAAACCCATTTTATTTTTGACTATTGTCATAGGGACAGAGAGACCCCAGCACAGAACTGGCCTCCATGCCAAGTATAGCAGAAACAACTGGGGATTTATAGTTCAGAAGCAGAGGAGTTGGTGGATGAAAAATTACAAAGAACAAATATTAAATCCAGTGGAAATTCTTGCTAAACCAACCAAATAGGATTCCTGCTGAAGGCAGGCTAGCGTGATCAGATACCAAGGGTGGGAAGATTTTATCAGGTGTGAGGGTTATCATGTACCAAAGGCAGAGGTTCATGGTAGCAAGGTTATTTGCTATACTGAATTTTACAAGAACGTGTACAAATGAGCCTTAGAGAAAATTTAGAAGCCTAAATAAATTTAGGTCAAGCAAAGAATTTTTGACAGAATCCCCCTTCTTGCTCAATGGAAGAAAATGTATTCTTTTTTTTCTGAATAATATGAGTCTGTTTCTCATTCAGTCACCTTTTGTTCGTTTAGGAACAGCTGACCATCTGTTGAGACTTGGCTTTTGACTTGTGTATTGTGTCACCCATGAGACATTTAATGAAAAGGATACTTAAGCTTATAAAGAGAAGGACAATGATTACAAGCTGAATCAATCTGTATGCACAACTTTGCACACCTTCAGGGATCCACCAGAAGAAGTCCTGGGACCTGTATTATTTCCTCAGTAATTTATGCATAAAGGCCATGATGCGTTGCGTCTCTTAATTCACCTCTGGAGCTTTCCTGATTATTAGAGAAACATCAGAACGATTTTCAGGACCAATCACTTCCAACCACTACACAAGTGCTTCTCTCTTCTGTAGCCAGCATCATATTTATGGCAATGGGGCTGTGAGAAGAGCATACTGGGTTTCTTGCAACTGGTGAATCACTGATTTAAGATCAGTAGTGATATTGTCTAGGGACATGGGGAATTGCTTCAGTAATGAGTAAATGAATCTGTAGTTGAGTGTAACTTCTTAGAGTGATAGATTCCAAGGGATGGTATCCAAAAGATGGCAAACTTTTCCCAAAAATTAATGAGATTATTGATGGAATTTATGCCCAGTTCTGCAGCTATTTTTTTCTAAATCATGTCCTCAGGAACCAAGATCACCTATAAAAGTCTTTGTGATCTTTTGGACACTGCCTTTGTCTTTATAGTGAGAGTAAGGTGAACTGGAGGGGATGGGTGATTACTTTAGAGATGGTTCAAGATAGGAAGAAAATCTCAGAAAAACAAGCAATATGAAGAAATTTATAAGAATGGAAAGATAACAAGATCCAGTCTGGTTGGCTGGTAGCTATCAATAGACACTATCAATAGACTTGGGCTCCACTTACAAAATAAGAATTATTAGTACCTAATCAAGGGTGATATAAATAGTTAGCTGATGTCTGAACATGACCAAAGACTGCAATTTGAGAGTAGGAAAAGGATTTGAAAGAGGTTGTCTATGTGTGTTTCGGTTGAGTCAAAAGCATTAGGCTAGGAGGGACAATGGGGCCACTTCCATTTATTTGAGGGATATCTAAGGAGTCCGTAGCATCTTGGGGCCTTATATAAGATTTATTGATTGCTAGGTAAATGTAATGACAAATGCTCATTTCCAAAAAGGTGCTAGTGGTAAAATTATTACAGAAACAAACCTGTTCCTTGTGAAGATAGATTGGAGTTAGTGTGGGGGGTTTGTCACAATGTAACTGCCCAGTTTAAAATAATGGAGGGAATGGAAGGGCTATAGCAAAACAGATATACTGATTGATGAAGAGGATTGGGGAAATACCACATGTGATCATGGATAAGAATTTGTAATACTAACAGTCTGTTGTATTTTAAAAAATAGTGAAGAGTTGGTCCCAAGCTTTCCAAAGCTTCTGTGGGTGAAGTTGTCTTCCTGAGAGGTGACAAAAGGAAAGAAATGGGGGATGAGCACAGGAGCTTCTAACTTTAAGGACAAGAAAAGGAAGGTGAAGACTAATCTCAGGTGAGAAAAAGTAATGGTGAAGAAAGGGAGTTATTGTGGTAAGAACAGGAAAGTCTCTAGGCAAACAGTAAGGATAAAGAGGCAGGATATAGGCTGGGTTTGGTGGCTCAGGCCTGTAATTCCAGCACTTTGAGAGGCCGAGGCAGACGAATCACAAGGTGAGGAGTTCAAGACCAGCCTAACCAACATGGTGAAACCCTGTCTCTACTAAAAATACAAAAAATTAGCCGGGCCTGGTGGTGGGTGCCAGTAATCCCAGTTACTCTGGAGGCTGAGGCAGGACAATCACTTGATCCCAGGAGGTGGAGGCTGCAGTGAGCTGAGATCTCACCACTGCACTCCAGCCCAGGCAACAGTGTGAGACGTGAGACTCCGTCTCAAAACAAAAACAAAACAAAACAAAAAACAAAACGAAACAGGAAATAAGGAGAGAGGGGTATTCCATTGGATCTTGTTTCATGGTGTTTTGCTCTGGATGTCACCTTGTGACATCATCCAGTTGTTCTGAGGTTCTTGGGGTAGCTGTCTGCTTGTGGCTGTCATCTAATTCTGAGGTCTCTGGAAAAAACCTCAGTTTGAATTCTCCAGTTTGAATACTTCTACAATTTGACTAGCTCTTGTATTTCTTTAGTTGCAAAGCAAACTGAAGGTTGAACATCTTGGAATTTGACAGCAATGGTTGCAATGAGTAACAGTATAAGATCCCTTCCATTAGGGCACAAGATTAGTTTTTCAATTGTGGAGTTTCTAGAATATCAGATCACCTAATTATAAGTTGTGTAAGAATTGATCAGGAAGTTCCAAAGAGAAGGCAGCCTTGACTTAGGGCCTGCAGGTTTTGAGGAATGACAACATTCAGACAAATCAAATTAACTAAAATAAAGTAAATGAATCAACATACATGAAATGTGTACCTCCTTCATGTAAACCATGCTTACCATATGTGATTTTTTTTCTGACCTTTAACATCGTAGTGTTTGCCCTGCCTTTAATTCTGATACTGTTTTTTGACAACGTCATTAGTCAACATCTCTCCATGTTTCTATGTAGTATATCTTGCTAATGTCAATTTCACTGGGCCACAATGTGCCCAGATATTTGCTCAAACTCGAATGGGCAACATTGTGCTCAAATATTTGGCCAAATATTATTATGGGTATGACTGTGATGGTGTTTTTGGATGAGATCAACACTGAATTGGTAGAATGACTAGAAGAGATTTTCCTTCTTGATGTGGGGAACCCTCACCCAATCAGTTCAAGGCCTGAATAGCACAAGAAGGCTGATCTTCCTGTGAGTAAGAAGAGGCTCTTCCTGCCTACCTGCTTTCAGCTGGGACACTGGTCTTTTCCTGCCTTCACTCCAACAGAAATATCAGCTCTTCTTAGGTCTCTAGCCTGCCAGATTTCAGACTGGAACTTAGACTGCTGGCTTTCTTGGCTCTCAGGTTTTTGGACTTGGACTGGGACTATATCATTAGCTCTCTGGGGCCTCCATCTTGATGTCTGTAGATCTTGGGACATGACAGCCTTCATAGGTGACTTTAAAATTCTTTGTACCACATCCCCTCAAATGGTTGTCTAGTTTCTATTTGGCACTACCATAGACAGGGTGCTGGCTACCTGCTGAGGAGGCTTCCAAAAATACATACATATTTTTAGAAAATCACTTTCTTACCTTGTTCAGAAATTTTCCTTTCAGCTTGGCTTATTTATATCATTTCAAATAATTCTTTTTAGATTTTCACTTAACTAGCTCAGTTTTTCGTTTAGCCACCATTTCCTATTACCTTTTCTTATCGATCACAGAATTGTTCATTCTTATTCGTTGTAAATTATAATGCCCTCTTATTTGAAGCAGAAAGTACCTTTTATCAAAGGTGTCAGTACAAGTCCGTGTATCCAGCTTCCTCCTTTGTATTTTCTTTCTCATCATTCATTAATGACATTCTGAGACTGTCTTCTAAATCTTTATAAGTTTCATCTTCCATGTTTTATGAGATACAGAGCCATGTTATAGACCCATCAAAGGCTTCATGATCCCACATTTATGTGAAGCTGTATTAAATGTTCTTTGCCATTTATAAATATTTAAAAAGCCATTCTTTCCCACCTTCTTTTTTATTTTAACTCTGTCACACTCCCTACTATGGCTTTTCTTTTTCTCTGGTAACAAGATTCCTTCTGATTTTTCAACACATATATGTCAAAAACTGAAGCTATGCTCACTATTTCATCTGTGCCACAGGGGACTCTCTCAAGGTTGTTGGCAATTTTAATTAATCAAATGGGTGGAGTTGGAGGCTGCTTTTTTCATTCTCAAGCTCCCGTTACTCAAGACAAGAAGATGTTGAATCAGAATTTTACAGCTTTTAAATACCATTAGAAGATAAGAATCTGAGATCATAAGAAGCCAATTCATTTTGTACTACTGTTTCATTTGTTTAAAAATGCATTCCAATTTATTCATAAAGTGTCCTGATTAAGGGTAGGAGGAGCTCTTAGGATTTTCTGTATTTCTCATTCCAGTCACAATGCTGAGCATAGCGTAGTTGTTCAAAACATGTTTATCAAACAAAGTTACTGATACAGGGTATTTGAGAAACAGGACTAAAACTCAAGGTGTCTTTGATATTTCTTGTATTACAAGAATTATAAATGTAAAAAAATGCAAATGGCAAGTAAAAGAGCTCCATGCTTTTTATTGTAGTCAGTGTATTTTTAATGAAAAGGAAAGTTACTGTATGAAAGGATGGAGCTCTATTAGCATACATTTAAACTTTTTCCAATGTTAGCACTGTATTCTGTTGTGACCTACCACTGGTTCTGATCCCAGTCAGCAAGCTGAGACGTTTTCCTTTGCCCAGCTAAGCCTCAGGAACGCACTCACTCACCAACCCCCTTTTCACCTCTCTTTCCATCCTCAATTTCTCCCTTTCTTTTTTCACATCTAAGTTCTGGACCCTGTGCTGTAATTCATCCAATGCAGCAGCTATTCTCATTCCCTTCTCAATGATTATACCAAGGACAGAAAATGCCCCTAAATTAATCCATCTAATGAGTGGGAAATGCCAAGAATGATCCATTATCACTGCAATTGGAAAATTATAATAGGATAGCTCAGCCTGAGCAACCAGTAAAGCAAATATCCAAAACATACAGGGACGGCCAGATGTGGAAAGCAATCGGGTCCGGAGCTGCCTCAGTGGGGCACTAACTGATTTATATGTCCACAGAGCTATGCCTATCCACCTGTAGAGACATTACCCCAGAGTACCTGTGTGTGCTTATTCTGGGTTTTGAAAAGCTAGATTATGTTCCCTGAGTTGACTCTTAAAAGGTCACTTTACCAAAATGCAATGCCACAGTGCCCTCAAGTGGTCTCAAATGCTTAGAATACTTATTTCCCTGGATGGTAGGATTCTTGCTAATATAAAAATCTTAAGAAATTTGTATGTTTGATTTTCAGAGAAGTTAAAAGATATGAAGAACAACAATAACAGTAGCAGTAGCAATAACAGAACATTAATAAAACCTTCTGTCACATGCTTACTCTCATTTTTTAGTTGGTTTCCTTGATGCATAATTTTATCTCACTTTTCTCCCTACCCCATTCTCTCTTTAATACTCCTGTGTTCCCTTAAGCTCACTCTGTGAAGGTAGCGAAAGAACCATTCCACCCAAGGTCTGTTTTGTCAGTGTTGTAGTCTGATGAGTAAGTAACACTACTTTCCTCCCCCACCAATTGCATGAAATAAACTCAGGAAAAACAGAAAAACAGACTCTCAGGTAAGTAAAAAACAATGTGAAGACAATCATAATAGTATCTTGGCAGCAGATGAATATGTACATTGTATATAATGTAAAGAATAATGCAAATATATTTTAATTGTTGGCTTTATTTGATTAATCAATTTAGCAATTGCATTAGTCATTTAAAAATTTTGTTTTGAATATTTTTCTAATAATCAAGCCTCACAGATTTCATTAGGAAGAATGTAGTGGCAATTTTAAGGATGACTTTTTTTTGAGAAGAGTTAGGTGTACCCATTTCTCTTTATTTTAATTTTAAAATACTATGCAATTCTAGTAAATTCTCGAAGAATCACTGATCACGGAATTATTATCAATGGTAAAAGTCTAGATGTCATGTTGAATAGTAATGAAGAGTAAAAATAAATAAAGTAAGCTAGGTTAGTAAATTGTATAGATATATATGTATATAATGTAAATTACATTTTATTTAGCTTACATAGATATATAATCTCTCTCTCACACACACATCAGCTATACACCTGCAACCCCTTTTGAGAAAGAAAAGAAAAATAAAATAAAAATAATAAAACTGCAGAATATTGTAATTGCATTCACCACAGAAGTGAAGTGGGTGCGAAGTCAAAGTTTGACCAAATAAATCAGACAGTCTACATGAAGATAAAGGATGCTTGTACTATCCCCAAATCCTAAGTCATGATGCTCTTAGCTTATATGAATGATAATGAGAAAAACTAGAATGCAAATGTTTAGGTATTACTTCTAGACCTTATTTTCTTGACTATTCTTCCACCAAAAGAAGAAAGGATTACTTTTTATTCACAAGGAGGAGGTTGAAGTAGCTCAGTAGCTCAACAAGGTTACCTTTTGAGCTGGTCTTTAAGGACACCCATATTACACAGCAGTTTAGAGCAAAGTCATCAGCATTAGATAAACTAGGAACAGAATCCAGACTCTGAAGTTTATTGCCCTGTGAGATTTTTTTTTTTTAACCTCATCTCTTCTTACATAAAAAAATACTTGGGAATACTTACATTGTAAGATTCTTGCAAGAATTCAAAGCCACAATATCTGTAATTCTATGAACCTAAAAAAAAGGCTGGCATGTGTAAGGCACAGTTCCCAATACAGTAAATACTCAACCAGTTTAATTTTAATTTTAATTCAACTTTATTTAAGATCATTTCAGACTAAAGGCAATGCATAAACAATTCATATATGTTGTTTGCCATATTAAGTACATTCCATGAAGTTCCAATCACAGGAAATAGATGAATGTTTAGTTTGGCTTGGTCTAAGTCAGAATAAAAGTGGATAGTGGAAGAAAAACTATTTTTAAATGATCTCAATTTATGGAACTTATTAATGGTTGCATGGTTTACTTGTGTTTTAGTGCTTTCATCTTAAAAACAAGAAAATGAAAAAAATAAAGTATTTAGGAAACTCCTGGGATCATTTCAGTTACTAAAATATTCAACTTATTAATTTATTTGATATATATATTTAAATATCTTAACATATATTTAGTATATAAAATATTTAAATACAAGAGATATGTCACATTACAAAGCCAGAATTAGCTCTCACAAAGTATACTATTATGCTAAATAAGCAGCTAAATAAGTGTTTGAAAATCTCATATTTCCCTCTTGATGGAAATAGTAATTGTAATTATGGTAAGGTAGTACCAAAATCTTTAAAAGTATATATTATATGTGACAGATTCTCTTAATTTTATCAATAAATAGTCAGTGACTGATGGTTACAAGGAATTTCCCTTTTTTTTAAAGAGTTGTTTGCTCACAGATTTTGTTCAATCATATTATCTAAGCATAGCAACCCTCCAGCTGTGCACCACAGCGGATCTACGTGAAGCATGTTCGCACATCACGCCAAGCACTGCGATGCTAGCCTTCCTCAGATCTCTTTAAATGCACCTTCTACTACTTCCATCTTTGCCCCTCTGGTCCAGCTGAATCTCACTCTTTATCTCTGTCTGATCTTGACAGGCCATTTAATATCTCAAGTCATTGCTCTTGCTGTCCTGTCACTATACTGCTATTCTCCTCTTTTTATACAACATCCTATTATCTGCAGCACTCATGCTAACTCTTTTATGTTGACTTCTCAAATCTCCTCAGTCAGATTTAATTGTTCTTTCCCTTGCCTTCTTAGAACACTTGGTGCTTTTCACTAATAATTGTTTTGCTTAGACTTATACAAATGACTCTATCCGTACATTTCATTCATCCATAAATCCATCCACTCATTCACATCTGGTGTTGAAGTAAATATTTGCTTTGCTGTGGGTAACAGAACAGTCTAAGGATTACGACCTCAGCCTTTGATTTCAGAGAGACGTGCCATGAGCTCTTACTCCTTCATGTACCAGTCTGAACAATTTAACTGCTTCAGTAGTTTACTCATCTGCAACATTTGGGCCAAATTCAATATACTGACTTTACATGGCTGCAGAGAAAATTGATTTAAATGTTTTTAAAGCATTTCACCTGGAACTCAGCAAATACTCAATACATGCTAGTAGCTGTCATAACTATTATTATTACCATTATATCTTTATATGTCAACTACCAATTTTATATCTGTCATCTAGACTTCACTCTTCAATTTGAAACTTATACATCCAATTGTCTTCTAAGCAACTCCATTCCGTTATCTAATAGGTATCTAAAATTAACCTCTCAGTGTTGGAACTCCTGACGATTTCCCTAAAACAAAAATTGCTTTCATTTTATCTCCATTAACTACTATATATATATATTTAAAATACTTCTACAAACTTAATGTATTTATTTATTTCTCTCAAATCTGTTATCTAATCTATTGGAAAATCATATTGGTTCTTCTAACAAATATATCTAAGATCTTACCATGGTACTACACTCCAAAGTGCATGAAAACCGCTTTGATCTGAACCACTGTAATTCCTGACCTGGACTATTGATTTTGCTTTTCTGACTGGTCTTCTCGATTTGGCCTTTGTTTACTTAAACATATCAACCAAATATATTTTGCTTTATTTTGTTTACTTTTACCAACTCTGCCAAATTTTAGTTTACATGTAATAAACTACACATAATTAAACTGTATAATTAGATGTTTTAACATAAATATACATCTGCAAGACCATCACCACAATCAAAATAATGATCTATCACCCTCAGAAGTTGTCTTCTACACCTTTGTAATTGGTCCCTCATTCATCCCTCCCTCCCTCAAAGCCAACCAATAAATTGTTTTCTTTACCCCATACATTATTATTCTGAATAACAGAATAAGTAGTAAGGCTGGATCATATAGCAGTGTGTGGATAACTTTTTAGGAACTCCTGAATACTTTTTCAAAGTGGTGGTATCATTATTTTATGCCCACCAGTAGCATTTGAGAACTCTTAACTGTTCAGTATCTTAGCCAAAAGTTGGTGTGCTCCCACACAAATCTTATCTTGAATTGTAGTTCCCATAATCCCCACATGTGGTGGGAGGGTCTAGGTGGGAAATAATTGAATCATGGGAGCAGGTTTCCCCATGCTATTATGATAGTGAGTAAGTCCTCAGGAGAGCTGATAGTTTTATAAGGGTCTTCCCCCTTCACTTGGCTCTCATTCTTTTTCCTGCTGCCTTATGTAGAAGGATGAGTTTGCTTCTCTTTCCGCCATGATTGTTAAGTTTCATGAGGTCTTGCAGCCATGCTGAACTATGTCAATTAAATCTCTTTCCTTTATAAATTACCCAGTCTTAGGCAGTTCTTTATAGCAGCATGAGTATGGACTAGTACAGTTGGTATGCTCAGTCTATTCAATTTTAGCCATTCTACTCTGTGTGCAGTTTTATTTCATTGTGATTAAAATTTACAATTCCTTAAAAAGGGTGGTTCCAACAGAAATAAAAAATAGAACAGAAGATACTAGAGGGTAGGAAGGATTGAGGGAAAGAAGGAATACGTAGAGATTTGTTAAAAGATGCAAAATTATAGCTAACTAGAAGGAAAAAGTTATATGGTTCTACAACACTGTAGGATAACTATAGTTAGCAGTAATATATCATATGGTTTCAAATGGCTAAAAGGAGGATGTTGAATGTTCCTAACCAAAGACATGATACATGTTGGAGACAAGGGATATGCTATACATTATATATATTGAAATATCACCTGATAAATATGTACAATTATTGTGTGTCAATTAAAAAAATAAATGAATTTGCATTTCCATAATGACTAGTGGTGTTGAGGACATTCTTATGTGCTTATTTGATATTCATGTATGTTCCTTGGAGAAGGCTCTTCTGAAATTTTTGCCGTTTTTATAGATTGTTTTCTTTCTTGTTGAGTTTTGAGAGTTCTTATGTGTGTGTGTGTGTGTGTGTATATATATATATATATATATTCATCTGTGTATGGGGATTCGTTCCAGTACCCTTGCAGATAGGAAAAAATCCGTGGATGTTCATGTCCCTTATATAAAATGGCATATTAATTTCATATAACCTACATTCATCCTCCTGTTATACTTTAAATCATTTTTAGATTACTTATAATACTGAATACAATACAATGCCATGAAAATATTTGTTATAATACATAGGTTTTTGTTTTATATTTTTTGTTGTTGTATTGTTAATTTATATTTTAAATGTTTTTGATCAGTGGTTGTTTGCCATTGTGGATGTGGAACCCACAGATACGAAGGGCTGACTAGACATGTACTACATACACATATAGTTATGTATTTATATTGGTTGTAATCTATAACCTTCCTAAACTCTCTTATTGTTTCTACTCTCTTTTTGTAGATTTAATGGGTTTCTCTACACAGACAATCATGTTGTCAAAGTGAATACACATTTTTTACTCTGTTTTATTTTCTTGCCTTATTTTACTGGCTAGACTCTCCAGAGCAGTGACAAAGAAAAGGGGTGACATCCTGATCCTGCTCCTGATCTTAGAGAAAGATAATTTAGTTTTTATCCATTAAGTATGATCTGTTTTGTTTTGTTTAGGAATAATTGTTGAAGTCTGTCAATGTTTTTTCTGTATTTATTAGATGTGTATATGTTGTTTTTCTTTTAAAATTATTAACAAATTAAAATAGTACATTTTATTACTAATTTTTAAATTATAGTTGAAACTTATATTAAATTTAATGCCATTAATTTAAATTAATGTGTTAAATTAAATTAGATTGAATACCACTTGGTCATTATGAATTAGTCTTCTGTATATTATTAGATTCTATTTTTTGTAATGAATTTGTTTAGTTTTAATAGCAATGTAATCACAAATTGAGTTGGAAAAAGTGTTTGCTGTTTAGATATCTGAAAGAGATTATTTAGAGTTGGTATTATGTTTTCCCTAAGTGTTTACACACATAGCTGCTATTTTTATATCCTTTGCTCCTGTTTGTAGATCTGTATTTCCATATAACATTTTCTTTCTGAGAAAGTCTTCTTTAACAATTCTTAAAATACAAGGCTGCTCAGTCTTCTGGCAATGAATACTTCCAGCTTATATTCATCTGAATAAGTCTTTTTATTGTCTGCTTTTTAGAAAAAATATTTTCACTGAGTATAGGTTGATGGTCTCTCCGCTCCTCTCCTCTCCTCTCCTCTCCTTTCCGTTCCGATCCTCTCCTCTCCTCCTCTCCTCTTCTCTTCTCTCCTTTCCTTACCTCCCCTCTCTCATCCTCTCCTCTTTTCTCTCCTCATTTTTTCTCTTCTTATCTATTCTTTTCTCCTCTTCTCCTCGCCTCTCCTCCCCTTGTCTTTTCTTTTCTCTTCTCTCTCATTGCTCTAGTTGTTTCACTCTCTTTTTACTTGCCTTGTTTCTGATAAGAAATTGGCTGTTAGTTTTAACTTTGTTTCTCTGTATATAAACTTCTCTGCATACTTTTAGATTATTTCTATTTTACTGGCTTGGGGAAACTTGATACTGTGTGTCTTTATGTTGTATTTTGTGACATTTTTCTTTGCTGGTTTTTACTTGACTTCTTTTTATCCATGGACTTATATCTGTTACCAAATTTGAATCTTTTGAGCCTTTTTTTTCTTTTCCATACTCTTATTCCTCTCTGGAAACTCCCATTAAAGTATATTAAGTTTCTTGAATTTTTTTCCAGAGCTCACCAATGCTCTCTTCATGGAAACTCTCTCATTGCAGTAAGCTGGTTAACATGGTTAGGTTTGCCTCATTTGATTTTCATCTTTGAGTGCTTACTGTTCCTTATTACCTGGTGTCTAGAGTCTTGATATTTATTGATTCATATATACAATATGGATATCCTTTATCTGAAATATTTGATACCAAAATAGTTTTGAATTTGTACGTTTTTAAATTTTGGATATTGCATATACATAATGAGATTTCATGGGGATTGGACCCAAGTCCAGACACAAAATTTATTTTATATTTTATATGCTGAAGATCATCTTATAAAATACTTTTTATTAATTTTGGGCATGAAACAAAGTTTTGTACATTGAACCATCAGAAAGCAAAGGTGTCATTATCTAGTCAACAATGTGGGCAATCTGTGGTTTTTGGCATTATCATCATTCCTGACTCTGAATTTATATGCTACTGATAAGCAATCATTGTTTAATAATTATTCACAGGTAAATGCTTAACAGTAAAATATATGACATAGTATTAATATAGTGAAAAATAATGTGTTCCAGTTCACTAAA
The DNA here is from genome assembly GCF_000001405.40 of Homo sapiens. NCBI lineage: Eukaryota > Metazoa > Chordata > Mammalia > Primates > Hominidae > Homo > Homo sapiens. The sequence continues at coordinate 63,454,313 of NC_000016.10, read as the reverse complement.
CAGCATAGTAACATCACCAAAATATCTGTATCTCCTGTCAAACAATAGCAACAATGAACAATGGCAGGCTTTCAATCTCCACATCCAGTGCTGTGTTTTGATTGAAAGGTTACTATACTATGCATTTTATTCTTTATTGTTTTTGGTGATAAGAAACATCAGAAACAGTTGAGGTATCAGGAAGTGGGTGCTGTAGGGATGAGGAGGAATTCTGCTGGAAGGGCTTTTTAAAATGCTTCCTCCAGAGTCATCTATGAATTATCTACCTCATTAACATGTTTGTCTTAGATGTCACTCTTTGATTTTATAAATTGACATAATTTCTTGTTCTGTTATAAATGCACATTGCTATAGTCCTTCAATAAACCCACCACAAATTTTTATCATGAGGCACTTTTTCTGCAGAGTTAAACAATGTCATGTTTATAGTCACTCTTACAACAATCACCTTGATGCAGAACCACCTCAGCTATTTCACCATTAGTCAATAAACAAACAAATAGAGCCTCATTATCAATGTTAAAATTTTCTTTGATATCTACTTCTTCCAGCTTACAGACACCCTGAAGATAAAAATTTTGTACATGTAAGGAAGTCAGACATCATTTTTCTTTTCTCACTGGACATATGGAATCCTTCAGTCACCTTCTTGTTCACATCATCATTGAACTTGGTTGCAGGCCAGAGGTTATGCCTGGCATACACAACTGTCTGTATCCACTGTGTTCCGCATGCTAGCAACAGTATGCATACCACCCTTCATGCTAAGCTCCTTTTGAAATTCTTCCACATCCGTGCCTCTGTTCACTGATGCTAGCATGCTGTTCAAGAAAGTGATTTCATATTTACTCTTCATTAATGTAAGTATACCATGGCCACATGGCTGAATTAACGAAGTCATATTTGGAAGAAACCACATGGCATAACCATTATTTTTTATGAGAAGTTCAGCTGAATGATGAACAGAACAGTTATGAAGAGATAAAACCTTGCAGTTATCATCCAGTCCAGCTTCCCTGCAGTTAGCATGAGCTGCTGGTAGAAAATGTTTGTGAAACAAATCCCAACACAGATATTCAGTCCTTGGCATTTTTAATTCCTGTAGGGGCTGTCTCATCAGCTGTAGTCAGTATCTTTCTGGAGCAATAACATCAAAACAGTGATGTTTCATCAGCATTATAGACTTGTTCTGGTGTCAGATTTTCTTTTCTTTTTTTTTTTTTTTTTCCTTTTGAGACAGAGTCTCGCTCTGTCACCCAAGCTAGAGTGCAGTGGCACAATCTCAGCTCACTGCAACCTCCACCTCCTGGGTTCAACAATCCTCCCACCTCAGCCTCCTAAGTAACTGGGATTACAGGCACACACCACCACACCTTGCTAACTTTTTTGTATTTTTCAGTAGAGACGGGGTTTTGCCATGTAGGTCAGGCTGTTATCAAATCTTGGCTTCAAGTGATCCACCCACTTTGACCTCCCAAAGTGCTGGGATTACAGGTGTGAGTCATTTCACCCAGTCTGGTGTCAGATTTTAATCAGCGATGACTTTGGCAAACTCATAAATGAATTTCAGTACTATTTTATGGTCAGTTGACACTTTATTACCACAAATCTTTACAAACATTATTTTGTGTCTTTTCTTAAAATTCTACAACCAGCCTGTTGAATATTTACAGTTCCCTTCAATTTTCAATTTATCATAATAGGTCTTTGCTTATTTCATTATCAGCTTACCCTTAGGTGGCATGTGTTCACTGTGATGTTAATAAATTCACTCTTTCAATACATGATGATCTTCATTTTAAACTTTATTCAGTACTTTTCTGCTTTTTATTAAATTATGTTTATCACTTTTAGCATAGGACTTCGACAGTTTATAACTCTGATTTCTTCAGACCCTATATGGTGGTCATTGCAAAACCATATTCTTCTGTAGAATGTTTTATACTTACATTATTGTCCAGTTTTTCCAACAGTTTCATTTCTGTGCTATAGATAAATATAAACACTTCCTACTTTTCTTATCACTGTTACCCATAAATGAGAGTATCTTTATACCACAGAGCAAAGTGAGTGATGCATTTAGATCTTGGTCCCGTGTGCATCTTTGTGAGGGACATGCCATTAGTTGCTCTGCCCAGCACATATGATATTGTATTAGCCTTTGTGGGCATGCTTTCGTGAGGGAGACTTGTGGTGTACAGCAAAGACATACCCAGCTGAAAGGCTGTGGGAGGGTCTATTTTCCCTTGGGAATGCTTAATAAACTGCATGTTGTGAGCTTGTGTTTTGACTGCAACCAATCACAGGAGGCCAGGTGTGGAATTTTCCACTTGTGACGTCATGTCGGTGCTCAAAAAATTTCAGATTTTGAAACATTTGGGGTTTGGATTTTTGGTTTAGGGATTCTCAACCTGTACTTATATTTACTTTTTATGGTGGGGTAAGGTAAAAATGGCTTCCTTTCTTCATCTAAACATAATATTGCCAACAGTACCTTTAAATTAGTACAACAGTCATACATTTCTCTGCTCAAAATGCAGCAATGACTTCCACTTCCTTCAGAGATAAAATCAAGTTTCTACTAATAATGGCCTACATGCCTATAGAGATTTTCTCTACTATTTTCTTTCTAAACTTATTCTTACTATTGCTAACTCTACTTCAGCTACATTGACCTTTCTAATCTTACACAAACATTTCAGTCATTCTCTATCCTGAGAGTTTTTGCACTGGATAATATCACTATGTGGATAGGATCTTCTCCCTCCTCCCAACCTCCTTTGTTAACATCTCCTGCAAATATTTGCTCATTTGTCACTTCTCTATGAAGTCTACCTTGACAACATCTCATTTAGCATTATAAGCTCGCCTCTTTTCTCTTTTTCTGATCCATATTACTCTAATCTACATTTCAACATTTTTTTCTATAACAACACGTATAACTTTGTCACACACTAATTAATTTAACATGCTAATTATTTAGACATTTTTTGTCTTCACATATAACCATCCTCCTGCCAGCAGGTATGCTCCATTAGGGCAGGGTTTTGTGTATTGTTTTTTCCATATGCATCTCTATCCTGTTTGCTATAGCTCAAAATTATTTGCTGAGTAAATTAGTAAATCCTGCAATTTTACAGGACAATTGCTTAGTATAGCACATTCAGATGAATACCTTATACACTGCTATCAAAAGGCTTAAAACCTAATGGAGGAAACTGACGATGACATTAAATGAGACTTAGTAGAGTGTTTTTGCAAACTCAACTCCACAGTTAGGGCATGATCTTCTTGAAGATAGAAAATAGGCCTATTTTTCCTACAGGACTGGTGATCTCCATATAGTAAATTCTTGACAAGGCCTTGATGTATTTATTTTATTTTAATTTCTTGCAGTCTTTTTGTATTAGATGCACTTCATTGATGCAAAAGCCTTCTTAGAAGAATACAGCAGAACCTAAGTGTAGAATCTCTGATTACCGGAAGGGGTACTACCAGGAATAAAGATTTAAGGACTAACCATAAACTCTAGGTATACGTAAGGATAAGAATAATTTACTTTATTTACTCTTTTTAGACAAAGTAATGAAATTGAACTCCTATCTTTTGAACTCCTATCTTTTGTCATATACAAAAATCAACTTAAATAATTTAAATACTTAAAACCTCAAAGTGTAAACTCGTAGAAGGGAGCATAGAGAAAAAGTTTCAGAACACTGGTTTTGATAATTATTTCATAGATATGATACCAAAAGCACAGGAACAAAAGCAAAAATATACAAGTTAGACTACATCAAATTAAAAACTTTTACATGGCAGAGGAAATATTCTGTAGGTATAAAGGCAACCTACACAATGGGAGACAATATTTGAAAACCGTATATATCAAATAATGGGTTAATTTCCAAAATATCTAAGGAACTCCTACACCTCCATAACAAAAAACCAAATAGCATGCTTCAAAAATGGGCAAAGGACTTAAATAGACATTTCTCCAAAGAAGACATAAATAAAAGCATACAGGTGTATGAAAAGGTGTTCAATAATGCCAACATGAGGGAAATGCAAATCAAAACCACAATGGGATATTACCTCACACCTGTTGGGATGGCTGTTATAAAAAATAATATAATGATAAGATAAAATTGTTGTTGATATTGTGCAGAAATAGTTCTTGCACACTGTTGGTGAGAATGTAAAATGATGTAGCTGCTATGGAAAATATTATGGAAGTTCCTCAGAAAAAAATACTTAAAAGTAGAGCTAGTATATAATTCAGCAATCCCATGTCTGGGTTTATATCCAAAATAATTAAAATCAGGATCTCAAAGAGATATATACACTCAGTTTTCACTGCATAATTTTTTGCAACCAAGACATAAAAGCAACCCAAATGTCTAGCAGTGGATTAATGAATAAAGAAAATGTGGCATATATATACAATGACATATTATATTTGGCCTAAAAAGGGGGTACTCTATGTTTGCAACAATATAGATTGATCTGGAAGACATTATGCTAAATAAAATAAGTCAGTCATAGAAGGACAAATGCTACATGATTCTGCTTACATTAAACTCTTAAATGCAGAAAATAGAATGGGGATTTCCGGGATATAGGGGAGGTGAGAAATGGGAAGCTGTTGTTCAATGTGTAGAAAACTGCAGTTACACAAAATAAATAAATTCTAGCTATTTGCTGTATTCCTATATATAACAATATGGCATTGTGCTTAAAAATATCTTAAAAGGGTAGATCTTATGTTAAGTGTTGTTATCACACATGCACAGAAACACACAAAGTGAAGGAATACACACATGCACACACACACAAATGTTTGTACATAGTGAATATATCTATATTCTTCAAAGTGGTGAGAATATCAAGGGTGTATATGTATGTCCAAACTCATCAAATGATATACATTAGATATATGTAGTTATTTTTTATATCCACTATACCTCAAGAAAACTGTAAAATAAAAAAGAGTTTGAACTCTGTTTCAATAGTTAGTATGACATTGGGGTCTGGAAAAGATTGCTGTTGCTGAAATTGTTTACTCCTTTTTGCTGCAGGCCTGAATTTTTGAACAATCAGGGTAATAATAAACCTAGTTAAAGAGAAGAAAATGTGTACATTTGGAAAACCAGAGATAGTAGGAAATGGGGTCAGATGTTGCGCAGGTACTTTTGATACCACAGGAAGCTAAATTTTGCACTCAGTACTTGGAGTTTTCACCAAGTTGTAGGTTGGTCAAAATATTTGGGGTTCAGTAGGTTGGTCAATACATGATGTGCAATACACATCATATATTGTGGAGGCTCACAGAGTTTGTATTTACAGAGCTGCTAACATATGTTGTGCTCTTGACCAAGTGCTGAACAACGTATTCAGATAGGAAGGATGCTCATGGTTGGCCCTGACATTGTTCATGCCCAACCAACTCCAAAGTCTGTTCTGTTCAGCATGTATTGAGTAGCTAGCACTGGGGAGACAATATCTGCTCCAGAGTTACACAGGTAACACTTCAGAAACCACCTTCACCTCTTGCCTTCCCTTTGCTGGACTCGTATAAAGAAATAGCATATTTCCATGTTTATTGCTTTCACCAAGTTCCATCCCATTGGTAAATTCCTAAAATTGATAGATTTTTAGAAGTGAAAACCTCATCTGCATGACAGATTCAGATAGAAGAGACAGTCTGGTTAGTCTGGTTTTACAGTTAGTTTTTCCAACAATACTCTTTCTTTGATTGCCTCCTGCACTCTAGCATAAAAGAGGAGACAGTGTCCTTACCTACTCAAGGTATCTGTTTTAGAGTGTCATAGCCCTTTATCTTTCTCAGCGTAGTGGAGAAAACTCAAGACGGTAAAGAGAACTCAAAAATAAAGCAAAACATTGAGTTGAGAGAAAGATAAATCGAGAAAATATACACTAGGCCAGACATTGTTCTGGGCTCTGGGAAGCTAAAAGAATAGATAACTTTTATAAAGACCTCAGTATGCATCTTCAGGCATGACTATAAGTGACTTTTATTTATTAAGTCCTTAAATCTTCACAACAGCTCTGTAAGGTGAGATTTCTTTGTATCCCCATTGCCTAGATGAGAAAAGGCAAGGCACAGGGAGGTTACATATTATCCCCAGGGCTTCACGAGTATAAAAGAGAGGGAACCCACAAGCCTGACTGCAGAGACTGCCTCTTAATTAGTCTATGCTCCAAAGAATTCAAAGTGCTCAGCATGTAGTTTTAAGAGCTTTCAAAGCATAGAAAGGAGACAGATAAATATGTATTTTAGTGTCAACAGTTATGGATGGCATGAATGATGACCTCTGTGGACACGAGAGTGTGTTTAAACTATCATTCATCTGTGTCTCTACCTCCTCTCTGTTTTTCTTTTCAAATGAAATATTTACTTTGAAGTGGGTTTCTAAATGTCATCTGTTACATGCTTTCTGCACTAGTCTTAAACTCTTAAATGTTGCTTGCATTTGCGTAGGAGATTCTGTGCGGGAATGCTGGGCGAGAATGAAATATTTATTTAATAAGCTGAAAATTGACATTTCTTTAAGGAATAATTTGGTTCGTGGGCATTTCTGATCATTTCCTACATAATTAAGCCATATTTTTTTCAAGAAGATAATGGGCTGAATTCTACCATGAGAAGTAAGATCAAGGTAGCATATAAGTGCCTGACTATTATGTCAATAAGTTTGTTTTGGATAAAAATTTGATTTTATATTTTTATTATTATTAATCATTGTTAGCCAGTTACCAAAGGGAAATTTACTTTTCAGTAGTGTCAGGAATAAAGAAGACATAGATTTTATTTATTTTGTTTTGTTTGTTTTTTTATGAAGAAGATGTAGGTATTAGATTCAGCTTTTCCATAAAATCATTTTGAAAAACCATGTAGGTCTCTCCCCTCTCAATTAACTTGTCTTTAAACAGGTCAGCACAGACTGGAACAGGAAGACATAATAGGATTCTAGCAACCTTCACAATAGCCCTCTTGTGAGAGAGATAACGATCCACTTTTCTGTTAGCTTTTGGCAGGGGAAAGTGATAGAGGAAGTATAAACTACCTTACCTTCATGTTTTGGGCAGACTTCGATTTTATGTAGCAGGATCTGAGTAATTTTTAAAATAATGTGCCTATTATATAGGATTCTTTTTAGCTTCTGGCATTAGATGACTATTGCTTGTTCTGGGAAATTGGTCCTTGTTTTTCAAACTTGTATGTTTTATTTCTATGAATATTTATCTATTTTTCTTTTATGAGAATTTGAGAAACACTGCATTGGAGGTAGTTAATCATGGGCATTGTTTAACCAGAAGCCAAATGATTTATTTTAATATGATATGATTCTGCAATTTTCATCATTATGCTCTTATGACATAATTCTACCTCCAACTTTTACTTTATATTTTGTCTTTACTTACTAGATTTAACATTTTTTAGGTTACTTCTTATGACAGTGTTAATTCTCCTGTATTTGATTACTTTATTTTTCTTATTTCCTTTAAGCACTGAGTGCCAGCTTTCTAATTAATAGAAACAATAATGATATTGATGATGACTATGTATATTCAGCATGTGTTGGGTTGCTAAAGCCTACATAAATGTAATTTTGATTCTTAAAATAGTCCTATAAAATAAGAAACAAAAACCGTAAATGTTGATATATAGACAGATATACATTCTCTTAGAATATATATTTCTGTGAGTGTGTATGTATGCACCCAGAAATTAGTAATATAATTTATGAACAAGATCACTGTTGGCTTCATGTGCTTGGTATTAACATTTGCATCTTTTTTTTTTTTTATGTTTTTTTTTTTTTTTTTTTTTTTTTTTTTTTTTTTTTTTTTACAATGTCATGAGAGATATTATCTCATGACTCACAGATTTTGGAGAGACCAAAATGCCATCAAATATTTCAATTTTAACATCTCTTTTTATGTTATAAGAGATTGAATATTTTAAAGCATTGACCTCTGTATATCTTTAAAACAACCTTATACTGGGGGCAATACTTGTGCCATTGTGTTCAGTCTGTAGTTGAGGAAGCCGACTCAGAGATATCAGATTTTCCTTAGGTTGCTGAAAACTGACCCCAGGCTACTGGGTCCAAACCTTATCTTACTCCCCTGTGCTGCTCAGTTATTATGAAACAGTTTCAAATTTGAAGAAACAATACATTTAGTGTAATTTGGCTTGCATCTTCAGATACCTTTAAGACACATTGAGAGACATAATATTGATAAAATATAAAACCAAGATTTTGAAAACTTGCAATTCAATATGAAATAGCTCTCACAATCTAACAGAGATAAGAGCTGTCTTGATAATTCCAAACTATGGAAGAAAAAAATAGGATTAAACTAATGTGTCCAATAAGTCATCAGCAACTGCAAGTTAACCACACTCATACATTTTGGTTATAAGTGCAGACTATTAGTTTGCTGGCTTTTGACAGGCTTCCTCCAAAGTGTGTGTCTACCCACAACTAAGAAAAGTTGAGAAAGTCTGCAAAAATTAAGTCAGGAAATGGGAAGCTCTGGCAAAAATAAAGTCAGGAAATGGGAAGCTCTGTTTTATGAGAAATATATATATATATTTTTAATGTTTTCATTTTATAAATAGTTTTAAAAATTCAAAATTTTAAAATAAATACAGCCCCATTGTAAAAAGAATGCTTAACATTCTGATAGCACAAAATGCAGAATGTAATTTGTATCCTAAATGCTGAAAATATTATTTTCTACTAATGGTTATCAACTTCATTAAATGAACCAAAAATATCACTTTTTCTTCTTCTTTTCTTCCTATCTGCCAACATGCCCCATAGAAATTTCCCCTTGATGAGTTTTTGAATGTGTACTACCTCCACATAACACCAATTCGACCATCTCAAAGTTCTTCCCAAATTTCATATAAAAAGAAAGTTGTTCAAGGACATCGCACTATAAGCACTATAATGGAAAAGTCTAATTTTGTGGAGCTAAAAAATGTAATCCATATAGAGCATTGGGTAAAATTATTAACAACCACTAGTGTGAGGAATGTAGAGTATCCTAATTAAAGAAGGACAGATGTTTCTCTATAAAAATAAGAATGCCAAATGAGAAACGTCTAGCACAGTTATGCAGAGAGCAGTGCAAAGAACCATGGGTAGAGAAAAATTAACCCTTGTTTTTTTTTTCTTTTTTTACTTGCAGTTTGTTTGGATTTTGTCATATATTTAAAAATCTGCAATATAATAAAGGTGTCTGTTGGTAATTTATGATTCATAGATATGTGTCTTTGACTATCCTCATAGTATCATTTAATCTGGGCTAAATGTTTAATGTAATTCTGAAGTTTCATTTCTAGGTAAATTTATTAATGGTTTATTCTTTCTTTACTATAATTTAAGTTTTAGGGTACATGTTCACAACGTGCAGGTTAGTTACATATGTATACATGTGCCGTGTTGGTGTGCTGCACCCATTAACTCGTCATTTAACATTAGGGATAACTCCTAATGCTATCCCTCCCCCCTCCCCCCACCCCACAACAAGCCCTGGTGTATGATGTTCCCCTTCCTGTGTCCATGTGTTCTCATTGTTCAGTTCCCACCTATGAGTGAGAACATGCGGCGTTTGTTTTTTTGTCCTTGCGATAGTTTGCTGAGAATGATGGTTTCCAGCTTCATCTATGTCCCTACAAAGGACATGAACTCATCATTTTTTTTATGGCTGCATAGTATTCCATGGTGTATATGTGCCACATTTTCTTAATCCAGTCTATCATTGTTGGACATTTGGCTTGGTTCCAAGTCTTTGCTATTGTGAATGGTGCCGCAGTAAACATACATGTGCATGTGTCTTTATAGCAGCATGATTTATAATCCTTTGGGTATATACCCAGTAATGGGATGGCTGGGTCAAATGGTATTTCTAGTTCTAGATCCCTGAGGAATCACCACACTGACTTCCACAATGGTCGAACTAGTTTACAGTCCCACCAACAGTGTAAAAGTGTTCTTATTTCTCCACATCCTCTCCAGCACCTGTTGTTTCCTGACTTTTTAATGATCACCATTCTAACTGGTGTGAGATGGTATCTCATTGAGGTTTTGATTTGCATTTCTCTGATGGCCAGTGATGATGAGCATTTTTTCATGTGTCTTTTGGCTGCATAGATGTCTTCTTTTGAGAAGTGTCTGTTCATATCCTTTGCCCGCTTTTTGATGGGGTTGTTTGTTTTTTTCTTGTAAATTTGTTTAAGTTCATTGTAGATGCTGGATATTAGCCCTTTGTCAGATGAGTAGATTGCAAAAATTTTCTCCCATTCTGTAGGTTGCCTGTTCACTCTGATGGTAGTTTCTTTTGCTGTGCAGAAGCTCTTTAGTTTAATTAGATCCCATTTGTCAATTTTGGCTTTTGTTGCCATTGCTTTTGGTGTTTTAGACATGAAGTCCTTGCCCATGCCTATGTCCTGAGTGGTATTGCCTAGGTTTTCTTCTAGGGTTTTTATGGGTTTAGGTCTAACGTTTAAGTCTTTAATCCATCTTGAATTAATTTTTGTATAAGGTGCAAGGAAGGGATCCAGTTTCAGCTTTCTACATATGGCTAGCCAGTTTTCCCAGCACCATTTATTAAATAGGGAATCATTTCCCCATTTCTTGTTTTTATCAGGTTTGTCAAAGATCAGATGGTTGTAGATATGCAGCATTATTTCTGAGGGCTCTGTTCTGTTCCATTGATGTATATCTCTGTTTTGGTACCAGTACCATGCTGTTTTGGTTACTGTAGCCTTGTAGTATAGTTTGAAGTCAGGTAGTGTGATGCCTCCAGCTTTGTTCTTTTGGCTTAGGATTGACTTGGCGATTCAGGCTCTTTTTTGGTTCCATATGAACTTTAAAGTAGTTTTTCCAATTGTCTCAGCCCAAAATCTCCTTAAGCTGATAGGCAACTTCAGCAAACTCTCAGGATACAAAATCAATGTGCAAAAATCACAAGCATTCTTATACACCAATAACAGACAAACAGAGAGCCAAATCATGAATGAACTCCCATTCACAATTGCTTCAAAGAGAATAAAATACCTAGGAATCCAAGATACTCAGGAGGCTGAGGTGGGAGAACCGCGTGAACCTGGGAGGCAGAGGTTGCAGTGAGCTGGAGATCACGCCACTGCACTCCAGCCTGGGTGACAGAGCGAGACTCCATCTCAAAAAAATAAAAAATAATAATAATAAAAAAGAATATCAAGCAGCATGAAAGTATGGTGGTCTTGTAGAGGTTTTCATGTTTTTAATGGCAATAGCGAAGATAGCTTTCCTAGAGTCTGGGATGTGTGACTAGCTTAGTGTTGACAATGATTGTCAAGAATTATATAGGACATACTTTAAGAAGGACCATACAAAGACTTTCAAATATATTGAAAAGCAGTTGGGGAGTCACATAAACATGTTATAAAGCAGAAAAATATGTCAATATCTGTAGTGGGTAAAATAGATTGAAGAGAGCACATACACTGGTTAGTAGGTGAATCAACAAAAAATCTTTCTTCTGTTGCAACTGTCAGAAAATTCCAATCTGTACCAAATTAAGGGGAAAGAAGTGTGTTCATTAATGAAATTAAAGTTTGAAGGGCAGCTGAATTCAGATACTAACAATAGCATCAAAATGTGTTTGGTCTTTTTATACGTAGGTTAAGGTATCAGCTTTTGTTGCATAACAAACCACCCCATAATTTAGGTGCTGAAAGAACAAACGTTTATACAACTCGTGATTGTGTAGATCAGTAATTTGGCCTGGCTAGCTGGGGAGTTCTCATCTCAGCTGACCTCATCTTTTGTTCTTGGTTTGTTGCCAGTCAGCTAGATGGCTTTACAGGTTGTCAACTGAGGCTACAGGAATGACTAGCCACATGCCTTTTTATCATTCAGCAAGCTAAGCCTGGATTTGAGTACATGACTGCCAGAGTTAAAACAAGCAAGAGCAGAAGAACACAGAGCATCTTGAGGCCTAGGTTTAGGCATAAAACCGGTCCAATGACACTCATACCACATTCCGTTGCTTAAGGAAAGTCACAAATCTGGCAGGGCACGGTGGCTCACGGCTGTAATTCTAGCACTTTGGGAGGCCAAGGCATGTGGATCATGAGGTCAGGAGTTGAAGACCAGTCTGGCCAACATAGTGAAACCCCCGTCTCTACTAAAAATACAAAAAATTAAGACGGCATGGTGGCGGGCGCCTGTAATTCCAGCTACTATAGAGGCTGAGGCAGAAGAATTGCTCGAATCCGGAAGGCAGGAGTTGCAGTGAGTGGAGATCGTGCCACTGCACTCCAGCCTAGGTGACCGTGTGAGACTCCATCTCAAAAAAGAAAGAGAGAGAGAGAGAGAGAGAGAAGAAATAAAGAGAAAGAAGAGAGAAAGAAAGAACAGAGAAAGAAAAGAAAGAGGGAGAGAAAGAAGAAAGAGAAACAAAGAAAGAGAGGAAGAAAGAAAGAGAGGAAGAAAGAAAGAGGAAGAAAGAAAGAAATGTCTGTCACAAATCTAATCTATATTATGGGGTAGGGGAAGTTGAGTTTATAGTGGGACCTGCAATGTAAGAAAGAAAGAAAGAGAAAGAAAGAAAAGAAAGAAAGAAATAAAGAAAGTAAGTCACAAATCTAATCTATATTACGGGGTAGGGGAAGTTGAGTTTATAGTGGGACCTGCAATGTCACATTACAAAGAAAAATAGATATAGGGACACACATAATTTTGGCCACTTATGCAAACAAAAGTACTACAATTGTTCTCTCCATCTCTAAATAGTATTCCTTGCAACTTCTGTGTATTCCCCCAACAATGGTCAATTGGATGTTGAAATTCAGGCTGTGATTTTTCTCATCTCAGATTGAAGTGAAAAAGAGAAATTGCTTTGTAGTATTTCTCTAGAAAGAAAAGATGTATTTTCTTAGGACTTATTTCCACTCCTAAAACATTCCAGAGATTAGTATAAAACTATATATTAGTATATTAGTATACTAACTATATAATTTTAGTATAAAACTAATCTGGAACTATTTCAGCTCATGTGTTTATGTTTAGTCAGACTTTTATTCCTGAAATCTGGATCATGCACTTACTTTAGATGGGTTAGGGGTGAGCTTGGGGAGTGATCCTAACTCAAATTCCATGGATTCAGAGTACAAAAGGTATTAGACCTTCAGAGAAAAACTTAGTTTTTTTTTTCTCAGATATAGAATGATGAAAAACAGATAGGCAAATAGAAAATATCTACCAGTAATCTAGTGAAGAAATTCTTAATTCTGTGCTTTTGATGTCCGATTATTTCTAGTCCTCTATTCAATTGGTTAGAATGATCGAAGCAACCTGCAAGCAGGAGGATTGCTCTAAGATTCTTATGATTATACATTGAGTCTCTCTTTCTTTCTTTTCTTCTTTCTTTCCTTTTTCTTTCTTTCTTTCCATTCCTTCCTTTCTTTTTCTTTCTTTCTCTTCCTTCTTTCCTTCCTTTCCTTCCTTCCTTCCTTCTTTCTCTTTCTTTCTTTCTTTCTTTCCTTTCTTTCCTTTCTTTTCTTTCCTTCTTTCCTTCTTTCTTTTCTTTCTTTCTTTCTTTCAGGCAAGGTCTAGCTCTGTTGCCCAGGCTGGAGTGTAGTAGCATGACCATGGCTCACTGCACCCTCGACCTCCCTAGCTCAAGTGATCCTCCCACCTTAGCCTCCCAAGTAGCTGGGACTACGGTTGCACACCACTACTCCTGGCTAGTTTTAATTTTTTTTTTTTGGAGAGATTTGGTCTTGCCAGGTTTCCCAAACTGATCTCAAAAGTCCTGGGATCGAGGAATCCTCCCACTTCAGCCTCCCAACGTGCTGTGATTACAGGTGTGAGCCACTGTGCCTGGCCCTGTGTTGACATTTTTAATTATACTTTTGTATGACCTATAGTATTATCTTTGCTTTACATTCATAAATAGAAAATCTTTGGGTAATATCAAATATAGTATGCCAAGGAAATAAAGGAAAAACCAAAATACAGAAATGCATATTACGTTAGATAAAAATATATCTCAGAAGGATAAGATATATTACCTAAATACTGTTCATTAAAAATAATACATGCAGATGAAATATTGAGGTCACATTAATTGCTGAATTCATTTTTAAAATGAAGAGATTTTAGCATCTCTCTTCCTCCCTCCATATGCATTACGGCTAAAGATTAAACAGAGTATGCTGTCTATAGCAGTTACTTATTTAATAACACATCGGAGACCATTTGCAAGGGTAAGGCTCTCTAGCACTGCATGAAGAGATTGTGCTTCTTACCTGAAACCCAACACATACTTCATATTTTATTTTGTCTGGCTTTCTTGCTACACTGTAACTGTATACCTAAGATGGTTCTAGGTCTCTGACTTTTAAATTCCCACTTGTTTGTGTGTCTTACCATCAACTATGTTTACATTTAAGACTATGCTGATCTGCACTTGGCTTTGGAGACATGCTACCCTACACCTAAAGTTAGTTCAAAGATAGTACTGACATTTCTAAAAAGAGAGAGACTATAAGATTCTTTCAGTACACTTGCATTTTTAGGCCTATGTCTAGAATCTTTCTGGTCCCTCATACCTGAGCTGGAGAGAAATTTTAGTCTTCTCTAATCCTAAAATCGACTAAATTGCTATCACTTACAACAGTGCATTCTTCATAGTACGTATCCAATAAATGTCTGAAGAATTGACTTAACAAAGGGTTTAGAACTATAAACAATGATTCTGTCCATGAACTAACTAGTAATCTTTCACTGCTATAGACAGCATTCTCTCTTTAGTCTTTTGCCATAATGTACATGGAGTGAGAGAAGATAGATACTAAAATTTCTTCATTTTAAAAATGAATTCAGCAATTACTGTGACTTCAGTATTTTGTTTGCATGTATTATTTTTAATGAACTGTATTTAGGATGGTATATCTTATTCATATGGGATATATTTATATCAAAGTGATATGTGTTTCTGTATTTTGATTTTTCCTTTACATCCTTGGCATATTATATTTGATACTACTCAAATTACAGTCATCCCTTGGTATCCATGGGTAATTTGTTCCAGGACCTCTGTGGATACCAAATCCATAGATGCTTAAGTGCCTGATATTAAATAACACACTATTGCATATAATCTATGCACATCCTTCTGCATACTTTAAATCAACTCTAAGTTACTCTTAAGTAATGCTATGTGAGTAGTTATACTGTATTGTTTAGGGGAAAATGAAAAGAATAAAATTCTGTGGATGTTCAGAACAGAGGTGATTCTTTAAAAATATTTTCAATTCATGGTTGGTTGAATCCACGAATGTAGAACCCATGGATATAGAGGCCCAATGCATGATTAAGCTTTCATACACTGTGTTTGGATAGTCCTTTTTTGAAACTAGAGCTCTCAATAGATTTTTCTCTATAGCTTTCTAATTTCAGTTCTGTTTTTATTTTGTAATTGAATGTTCTATTTTGATGTCTATTCTTCATCAATGATCCATAAGTTCCATGAAGCAGTTTCTCGTATTTGCTATATTTTGCTCATTACTATAATACATAATACACAAACTGACTCACTCCTCAGGTATTCATTGGTTTTAGAATTATATGTCAAGACCTATGTTGGATGATGGGGAGAGAGCCAAAAACAAGGAAGGCATGACTTTGGTTTTTGTAACTTTATAAATAACAACACTACAGTGTTCCATGTGCGCTCTAAATGAAGAATAATATGTCTAGGCCTCTTTCTTTGAGATAATTTAACATGTGGATGGACAATTACAATGCTACACACTATAAGTTTATAGAACTATGGGCAAATGTTCTGATTGTCACAGAGAAAGAAATACTTCATTGTGGATATGTGGAGGTCAAAGAGGATAATGGAAAATGCTATCATTAAAATACTTTGTAGACTTTGTCAAATAAGACAAGGCATAGAATAGCACCACAATAAAATGAATACATAAAAATCACTGTATGTGTGTAGGAGGGAATGTGCATTTGAGGATTTAGTGTAATGGGATGTGACTAGTAGTAAGGTCAGTAACTTTCACAGCAGCCAGATACTATGGAGTCTCACACAATACAGTGTGTGGAATTTACACTGACATTGACGTGGGACTTTTGGAAGAAACATGTGTTTTTCATAACTGAAATTGAGTAGATATTGTAAAATATATTTCCTTGATAAACTACTGCACAACTGAAAACCCTATGCTCTGTTACTTACACCTATGTATATGTGTGTGTGTGTGTATATATATATACATATATATTCTACTTAAGGACTTTCTACCAAGTCAAACAAAAGCAGTAAGAAATGATTCCAAATATTTGGTGTAAGAAAGTGTCCATTACAAATTGATAAAATAAAATTGGCAACAAATACACTGGTAACTACTGAATATACTGATTATTTCAGATATTGAACGACTAAGACTTTATGTGAACAAATATCTACCACAGCCTAAGTTAAGATCAAGTTAGGAGACAACAAAATGGAAAATCATGAATTAGTGATGAATATATGTGGAAAGGAATGAAAGCAATCACTATGGCTAGTAAATTTATAATATGGATAATACTGATGTGATATTGAACCAATGCTCCTTGGATCATTCATCCACATATTTTCAGCTTTCCACACCCATTGAAATCAATTCTTCCACAGCTTTGGGGCATCAAGCTCAGATAAATGGTCCATTGCTTCTGTCTGAATTTTAAATTTTATAGACAGATTTGTCTACAGTGAATCAATTGTCTTGAAAGCAGGCTCTGCGGAGAAATACACGGTTTTCAATATTATAAAATATTTTTTCAGTAATTGAGAGAAAAAAGCTATAAAGCATGGTAAAAGCAAATATAACATAAGGGAATTTATAATTAAATAAATCCTTTACAGTTCTGGATGTTGAAAATAGAAGAGCAATGAAGAAATGAAAGGGTCTATTGCATCTACTGTAATCCATCTCTATTGATCCATCCCTGCCATCAATTCTGTGGTTTGCCAACTTGGTTGGTGCTCATTGGACAGTTTTTCTGCTGGTTTTGGCTAGATTCACTCACACATTTGCCTTCAGCCAGCGGTTGAAGGCTTCATTCATATATCTGACAGTTGGCTGGTAATTTGCTGACTGCTGGCCAAGGGACAGGGGAACTAGGCCATATGTCTCAAATCATATAGCAAACTAGCCTGGACTCATGCGCATAGTGGTGGTGGCAGATCTCCTGTGAAGCACTATGAGTGGAAATTAAAAGGTCTCTTAAGCCCTAAGACCATCATTTTCTCTTTCTATTGACAAAATAAAGTAGCAAGACCAGCCCAAATCCAAGTTTTAGAAAAACAGACTCCATATCTTACTGAAAAATCTCAAAAATATTATAGCCAAATTTTTCAATGTCCCATAAAGGCTGTCTTAGTGGAATCAGCAAGAACTCAAAAGAGAACAATCAGGCAACAGGCTCCTCCCACCTCCCAATGCACCAAAAGGCATCACACATGCTCTGACTCCTGAGAAAATTAATGCAAAGACCCAGCCAAAGTCAAGCAAAGGAAAAATGTGCTAATAAATATTTTGAAAATAACAATATGTACTTAGTATCAATTGCCCTATACCAAATGTACAACAGTAACCAAAGAAGGTTACAAAGCACATAAAAATATGAGAATCCCAACAAAGGGCATCTGTAACAAACTTCATATTTAATGGTGACAGACTGGCTGCTTTTCTTCTAAATCTAGTAATAAGACTAAACAGTTTTCTCACTTTTTCTTTTCCATATCACACTAGAAATCCTACCAAGTGCAAGATGGCTAGAAAAAAGAAAGAAAAGAAAAAGACAAAACAGACAAATTGGAAAATACTCATGAAAACTGTCTCAATTTGCAGATCACATGTTAGTTTATGTAGAAAATTTATCCCTCCCTCAGTCTCCAGAAAATGCCCTTCAAGCTAAAAAAAAAAAGTCAACCAAGATATTGGGGATAACCCAGGGTGTAATGCACATTGTGACAAATGTATCTAACTGTATTAATAATAAATGGCACTTTGAAAGAGGTAATAAAGATAGGAACTAGCCTAAATAATTTCAGAAAAGAATGTTTTGTCAAAATATAGAAGGCCAACAGCAAAATGAACTGCACATAACACTAATATAATTATGTGTTTATTTATCAAAGGGGTAATATTTAGCAATGATGAAATAACTACATTTATCCTGTTGTTAATAAAATAAGTAAATACAGTATAGTTACTGAGTGCTGAATTTCTCACTGTCAGAGAAAAGACTTGACAAGTAAGTAAGGAGAATGTTAGAATAAATCATGTGGTGCTGGAATATAATCAGATTTATCAGTCTAAAATTATTTATTTTTGTAGATACATAGATAAAAACCAAATATTAATATATGTGTATATATATTTATTAGTGAACATACATATTTTTTTGTAACTCTGTTCTCTTACAGAGCTTATAGGCAGTAATGCAGCAATACCAATGATCATACTTAGTATCCCCAGATCATGGCTTCTAAATACCATCCTCTAATACAAGGAAAAAAAGAGAAAACCCCTTGCAGAAACGTTGATTCTGAAGTTTGGGCCGAGAAACCACACACTGAGCTTGATCTGGATTTTCTTGTATTGCCAGAAACTAAAATGCTTTACTAAACTTACAATACATTAATAGGACACAAGCACTAACTTGAAAGTGTTTCCAATAAGCACAGGGGGTTGGAGGGGGCAATGAACAATAAAATAAATAGCAAAATTATTGAATTATGACCAGAGAGTAAATAATTACATTTGAGACAATAGTGATGTAAATACATGAGTGAATAAATAATGTTTTAAAAATTGAAAAGGACTTAAATGGCTTAAGAAAGAATAAAGCAGAAACAGAGTAAACTCAAAGAGCCAAAATGAACTGCAATTTTAAATATGTCTGTACCTTTCCTGTCATCTGTGATTAGAAAATAGGGAAATGAGCAAGATGAGAGCAATTATAACTTTTTTTTTTTCACTTTTGAGTTGTGATGTGTAAAATTTCACTCTACAATTTTGGAATAACTAAAGTTGTAAGTAGGGACATGGGGTTGGTTGTGGCTCCAACAGAAAAGATATTCTAAACATATTTGACTCTAAGTTTGCCTTTGGGAGAGCTGGTCTTTGTTGTTATTTTTTTGTTTGTTTTCCATCCTTTGTCTCTTTCTCTTTTCTGTCATGTAAGTAGAGATGATTTTATGATAGCACTTAAACTCAGGAAGATAATGGTCCCTTTGATATTTCTCAAAAAGCCCATTGGCTCATAAGACTACATACTAGATATATTGAGAGGAAAAAAAAACATATCTTTGTGTGTGTGCTCTGGGATTTGAGTAAATTCTGGGAAGAGGGAGAACTGTTTAAAATCAGTCAGTGTGTGTTTTTTATTTCCCTAATGTTCCACATGATCTGTACCACTCCAGTGCCTACAACTCCACGAAGGATAGTCAAATTTTATATTGTATTTATTTGAAGATCTGTGTGGCTGCCTTTGAGAATACAACATTTGGAGTTGTTGAAACATTATGCAAATATATATCTATATATATCTATATATATATCCTAAGTTGTGCTTTATGTCATTCCTTTCTACCCATATACATAAAATGCATTATGATGTTACATGATGTCCACCTAATTTTAATAATTAGACTAACATAAAATAACTGGATTTGAATCATTTGTGTAACATAATAGAAACCAAAGTAAGGCAGTTACAGTGATGTGACCGGTACTAGAGAGTTCATTGGAAATGACAAAAGTAATTTGGTATTAGAGTGGGATTTCTTTCAAAAAATAAGTTGAGTTAATATTTTTTAAAGCATGATAATACCATTTTCTTTGATTTAATCAAAGGATCTTATAGAAAAACATCTGTCTCTAATGTTATTATGTCTGTTTTTCATTTGGTCTAAAGTCATTAGAGTGCTGAATAGCTCAGGCAGCCTATAAAAAGTGCTATGTGTGAATGATACAGTATATTCTTTGGAAATCACTCATCCATGCAAAGTAGCAGGTGATAGAGAACTCTTTCTGAATTCAGATGAAAGGACAAATAATCGTCTCATGATGCATTTGATATAAGCCTAATTCAGGATGTATACCAGCTTTTCAGTTGAAAGTTTAAATGATTTGTTTGGTCTTTTTTCTACAGATGTTTACCATTTTAACCAAAGAAATATCTTCAATCTTAGTTGGAATATTCCGTATCATGGCTCAGCCCAAAAAGCTCAGCAGTAAAGTTAGAAGATATAAATGTAATATTGATGCAATGCAGCTTTTTGTCTTTGAGGACTGTTCTTAATTCCTTTGAGTTTAGATATCTGTAAACTAGAGAAAGAAATAATGACACAATATATTGAAATAATTATTAGAGAAAATGAATGATGAGAAAGACAATAAAATATAAAACATTTATTTAGTCATAAAAGTGTGGTATCTTAGTCTTAACTAAAACTTCTAAAAGGTTACAAATATAACTTTTAGATGACTACTGTGTATTCCCAAAGTGGGGTAAGAAGGCTAGATAACTATACATAACTGATAAGCTCAATGAATTCTAAACATTTTTAATTATTTTTTATTGTTTTATTAAACAAATATTTATCCAACCAAACTATGCACTATTGTGTTACTCTCATAGTATTTAAACATAAATACAATAACGTTTTTAATGATAGTATAATAGGTAGAAAATTGAAAACAGTTTTCTTCTACCTGCAATTTTGTATTCAATTACGTACAATAACATTTCTCATTTTTTTATGGCTGAAAGCTCATAAAAATTTACAGATTGTTTCATTTATAAAATACACATTTTCCATGCAAAAAAATCATAATTGTATTCATTTTAAATTTCCTCATATCTAAATTACTTAAAAGTAGTAGCAGCAGCCATGGTGGTAGTAGAAGTAAAAATAATAGTAATTTTAAAATATTTGTATATAGAATGAAAATGTTAAAAGAGACAGAGATCAAGATAAAAGAAAGAGAAAAGAAAGAGAGGAAAGAATAAAAAAAATATGGGAGTTACTCAGAAATACATAAAGAATAAAGGATAAGAGTGAAGAGATAAAAACATAAAAGAGATAAAGAATAATCCTGGATGCAAATTAAAGAGTTCTGATACATGTTTCAATAGCGTGATTGTTTCCTTACTCTAGATAGACAGTAATTACTTAGTTCTTTTAATAGGAATATTCTTGGAAAGTTATTTGGGAGTTAACTCAAGTTAGACAGGCAGATATACCTAAGCTTTATCAGAAGAAAATTTCAAAATCTGGAGAAATTCTGAAAATACCCCAATTTTAAACATAAATATAGAAAAGAAATATGATAAAACCTGAAGTATTCTTTTTTCTTTTTCTTGAGATTTAGCATAATACCTTTGTGTCTTGCATTATATAAGAATACACAGAATTATAGCTCATATAGTTTTAAGCTTTTTATTTTGAGATAATTACAGATTCCCAAGATGTTGCAAAATTTGTACACGAAAGTTCTGTGTACCCCTTACTCTGTCTTTGCCAGGTAACAGCTTATAGGACAACAGTACAATATCAAACCCAGAAGCTTCACATTGGTACACTCTATATGTATAACATGCCATTTTATTATGTGTAGATTTCAGTAACCAGAGATGGAATCAAGATACAGAACTATTCCATTACTGCAGAGCTCTCCCTTGTGCTACTTTTTTATTGTATCATAAGGGGATTTTCAATTGTATCAAATATTTTCTCATTATCAATTTGTGATCTCACAATAATATGCATTTAAATGCATAAAGTTAAATTTACATATTTACACATGACTGGATAGTTGAGTGTGCACACACACACACGCACATCACTTTTTCAAATGAAATACCCTTTTTGAAAAACAGAGCTGGAAGATTGATCCAAATCACATATTTTGTGACCTGACATTTTTATAGCTTAAAATTTTCTCTTGATATGGGGCCATTGTATTACTATGACCTCAGTGCAGTGGATGATATAAAGGTCTTTTTCTCCCTACTAGGTATATTTGCCTATGCCGTATTAACTTGAACACAGCAAATATATATATATGAAACCACCGTCTATGCTTTTTGTGGTTCTATACCTACCTATGGACAGACAAGTTCTGCTGAATTTAATTATTTGATATACAAGTAGGCCTTTATGAACTTTCAAGCTTTATCACATTGTTGTCTCAAAATGTGTAAATGTTTTTAGAGTTGCCTAAGTAGTAATACAAATAAGTTGTATTGTGCTTTTTTTCCTGGGGAATTTCTAAGGACTTCGTGGAAATATTTCAAGTATTAAAATAAAATACGAAAAATAAAAGCTGCTGGGCACAGTGGCTCACAAGTGTAATCCCAGCATTTTGGGAGGCCAAGGTGGACAGATCCTCTGAGGTCAGGAGTTTGAGACCAGCCTGGCCAACATGGTGAAACCCCGTCTCTACAAAAAATATAAAAATTAGCTGAGTATGGTTGTGCACTCCTGTAATCCCAGCTACTTGAGAGGCTGAGGCAGGAAAATCACTTGAACCTGGGATACGGAGGTTGCAGTGACCCAAGATCGTGCCACTGCACTGCGGCCTGGGTGACAGAGTGAGACTTGAAAGAAAGAAAGAAAGAGAGAGAGAGAGGAAGGAAGGAAGGGAGGAAGGGAGGGAAAGAGAGAGAAAGAAAGAAGCTAATAGTATAAAGGGTTGTGAGGATACATAGGAACTACAAAAGCATAGGAAGACTGAAAAACTAATATGTTTGTATTTGTAAGCCACTTTTACAAAATATTACTGTAGTAATAAACTTTCTTCAGTGCATGACCTCTGCAACTGTGGCATTCAGACACACCAAGAGGATGACTACATCCAGTTTTTCCACTCAGATATGGCTCTGCCTAAAAGACCTGTAACTGATGTTCAAAAAATTAGGTGAACTTCCAACTAAATATCTGAGTAGGTTATTTCAATTTTGAATGTCATATAAACCAAATACCATAGTCCCTCTATACTTACATATGGAGAGATGAGTAGCAGAATTTTGGCAGAATCTGCAATAGAAGATGTTTGGCCAGGATAAAACAGAAGCATGAGCAATTGTGTCAAGTTATTTGAAAACTAATAGCTATTAGGTTGGTGCAAACGTAATTGTGGTTTTTGCATTGTTGGAATTTGCCATTTTATATTGGAATACACTCTTAAATAAATATGGTTATGTTATATATCATTTTAATGGGCCTTTCTTACTTTATGATTTTTAGTTAATGACTTATTACTTGCTGTTTATTTTAGACTATGGAAATGATGTTAGACAAAAAGCAAATTCTAGCGATTTTTTTATTCGTGTTCAAAATGGGTTGTAAAGCAGCTGAGACAACTTGCAACATAAATAACGCATTTGGCCCAGGAACTGCTAATGCATGTACAGTGCAGATGTTGTTCAAGAAGTTTTGGAAAGGAGACAAGAGCCTTGAAGATGAGGCGCATAGTGGCCGGCCATCAGAAGTTGACAAGGACCAATTGAGAGGAATCACTAAAGCTGATCCTCTTACAACTACAGGAGAATTTGCTGAAGAACTCAAGGTCGACCATTCTAAGGTTGTTGAGCATTTGAAGCAAATTGGAAAGGGGAAAAAGTTCGATAAGTGGGTGCCTCATGACCTGAGTGAAAAATAAAAAAAAATCATCGTTTTGAAGTGTCTCTCTTACTCTACGCAAAAACAATGAGCCATTTCTCCATCGGATTGTGATGTGTGATAAAAAGTGGATTTTATTTGACAACTAGCAAGAAAAATCTTCAGTGGTTGCACCCAGATGAAGCTCCAAAGCACTTCCCAAAGTCAAACCTGCATCAAAAAAAGGTCATGGTCACTGTTTGGTGGTCTGCTGCCAGTCTGATCCACTACAGCTTTCTGAATTCCGGTGAAACCATTACATCTGAGAATTATGTTCAGCAAATCGATAAGATGCATCAAAAACTGTGATGCCTGCAGCAAGCATTGATCAACAGAAAGGGCACAATTTTTCATGACAATGCTCGATTTCACGTTGCAAAATCAGCGCTTCAAAAGTTGAATGAATTGGGCTGTGAAGTTTTGCCTCATCCGCCATATTCACCTGACCTCTTGTCAACTGACTACCACTTCTTTAAGCATCTTGAGAACGTTTTGCAGGGGCTATACTGGAATAAACAAACTTATTTCTCATTGGCAAAAATGTGTTGGTTGTAATGGTTCCTATTTTGATTAATAAAGATGAGTTGGAGCCTAGTTATAATGATTTAAAATTCATGGTCCAAAACCACAATTACGTTTGCACTAACGTAATATTACATTCTCATAAAGTGCTTAGTACTGGTGTAACCCATTTACATAAATTATCTCAGTTATTCCACATAAACACTCATTGTATCTCATTTCCCAGGTAAGGATATTGAGACCGCAATATATTATCTAGCCAGATTTTGAATATTGGAAGGCTTTTGGGGTCTAGAAGTGCCAA
The DNA here is from genome assembly GCF_000001405.40 of Homo sapiens. Classification (NCBI taxonomy): domain Eukaryota; kingdom Metazoa; phylum Chordata; class Mammalia; order Primates; family Hominidae; genus Homo; species Homo sapiens. The sequence continues at coordinate 63,429,727 of NC_000016.10, read as the reverse complement.
GTTTAATATAAAATGCCAAATATTAGCAGAAGCATGGCCTGTAAGCTGGCTTAAATGTACGGAGTTGTAGAAAACAAATATCCTTTTGGGAAGTAACACTTTTTTGATGTTTGTTTTCAAATGATCACAGGGGAAAGTACAGCAAAGAGAACAATCATCTGATCTCCATTCTCTTTTTTTTCTTTTTTTTAATTATACTTTAAGTTCTAGTGTACATGTGCACAACATGCAGGTTTGTTACATAAGTATACATGTGCCACGTCGGTGTGCTGCACCCGTTAACTCGTAATTTATATTAGGTATATATCCTAATGCTATCCCTCCCCCTCTCCCCCCACCCCACAACAGGCCCCGGTGTGTGATGTTCCCCACCCTGTGTCCAAATGTTCTCATTGTTCAATTCCCACCTATGAGTGAGAACATGTGATGTTTGGTTTTCTGTCCTTGCGATAGTTTGCTCAGAATGATGGTTTCCAGCTTCATCCATGTCCCTACAAAGGACATGAACTCATCCTTTTTTATGTCTGCACAGTATTCTATATGTGCCACATTTTTTTAATCCAGTCTATCATTGATGGATATTTGAATTGGTTCCAAGTCTTTGCTATTGTGAATAGTGCCACAGTAAACATATATGTGCATGTGTCTTTATAGCAGCATGATTTATAATCCTTTGGGTACATGCCTAGTAATGGGATGGCTGGGTCAAATGGTATTTCTAGTTCTAGATCAAAAAGTGGACGAAGGATATGAACAGATACTTCTCAAAAGAAGACATTTATGCAGCCAACAGACACATGAAAAAATGCTCATCATCACTGGCCATCAGAGAAATGCAAATCAAAACCACAGTGAGATACCATCTCACACCAGTTAGAATGGTGATCATTAAAAAGTCAGGAAACAACAGGTGTTGGAGAGGATGTGGAGAAATAGGAACACTGTTACACTGTTGGTGGGACTGTAAACTGGTTCAACCATTGTGGAAGACAGTGTGGTGATTCCTCAAGGATCTAGAACTAGAAATACCATTTGATCTCCATTCTTAACATTAAGTTGGCCATCTGAGAGTCAGGCAGAATTCTATGAAGAATCAATTCTCAAGAACACAGATGAGCTTTGAATACTGCTTGGGTAGCATAACGGACTTTTGATGGTTGCTTCAATTGGTTCACAACAGACCCTGTCCCTTTGGGTGTTAATGAGCTATTGCAGAACATCAGTGACAGAAGAACTGCACTTAAGGGACATTTAGCTGTGATTATGTTCTTATATGTGCCCATCTTTCTCATCTTTCTCTGTAGGAGGAACTCCCAGGAACCACTGGGAAACACTGGGCAGTGGCTAAGAACCAAATTTTAAGTTCTCGACTCATTCTAAGATTTTTAAAATTATCTGTATGCCTTCGAGGGGGTATTTGCAGGTTGAATTAGAGGGTAAAAATGTGTTAAGAGGTAGAGAAGAAGAGAGAGAGAACACTAATAAGAAATGTCCTAGAAGGCTGGAAAAAATTAGTTGCAGCAAAGTATGTTATAAATGCCCTAGAGAGAATGAAATAAAATAAGTCAAGTTCATTTTAATACAGTTTATTTTCAGAAAAGATCTAGATTGCTTCTCAGCCTTTTGGCTAAGTTCAAGTTCAGAATAGGTCTAGATTTACAGAAATGTGAAGATGCTGTAGAGAGGGTACACAATTTGCTGTAACCATTTTTTTTTCTAACCTTTGAGGACATTTTATATTAATGCTCTCTCTCTCTCTCTCTCTCTCTCTCTAATTCAACCTGTAACCACATTTTCCACACCCAAATTCCATTGTTATTAATACTGTACTTTACCATGGTGTATTTTTCATAATTAATAAGCCCATCCTTATACATTATAAAGGCCCATATTTTGTAAAGATTTCCTTAGGTTTTACTAAATGTCATTTTTTCTGTCCCAGAATCCCATTTAGGATATTTAGGATACCAGATTTCATTTAGTCATCGTGTCTTATTGGGTACTTCTTCACTGTGATACTTTTGCAGACGTTCCTTGCTTTGATGACTTTAAACCGTTTGAGTACTGGTCATTACCTTTTAGAATGTCTTCCAACTGGGGTTCGCCAGATGTTTTTCTTATCGTTAGACTGGGAATGGAGGTTTTGTGGAGGAAGACAACAGAAGTAACATTCCATTTTCACTGCATCATGTCAAAGGTACATACTATTACCATGATTTAACATTGTTGATGTTGACATTACCACCTGGCTGATATAGTGTTTGTGAGGCTTCTTCATTTATCAAGTTACTCTTTTATCCCCATTTCCACCTGTTCACTGGAAGGAAGGCATGATGTGCAGCACGCTTAAGCAGTGAGGAATTGTGGTCCTCTTCCATGAGGATCTGGTGTTTCCAAAATTATTCTAAATTCTTCTGCATGATTTGTCTCTTCTCCCCCTCCCTTCATTTATTTATTCACTTGACACCTTATTTATCTCAACATAGACATATGGATTTATTTTATACTTTGAGTTGCAATCCGATGCTATCTTATTTATGTTATTGCTTATATTATTCTGTCTCTGATCACTGGGGGCTCTTCTAGTGTGCTCCTATATCCTTTCGATGTAACCAAAGTTGTCCCGTTTATTTTTGTTTTGTTTTTTAAGCACTTCCTAACTTTTAGCATAACAAGATAATCCAGGCTCACAGGTATATTTCCTGTATCAGTCCTAGAATCATTTATTTTTCCAAATGAATACTGGGTTCTTCATCCGGAAAGATAGTATTAGAAAACAAGATAAATCTCTACCCAAGCTAGCAATAACAAAAAGAGAGAAAAAGTCTAATCACTAATATTAAAATAAGAGATCTTATCACTTGTGCTTTCTTAGACATTAAAAGGGTAAAGAAATTTTATGAATGACTCTTTGCCCACGTATTTTATAATTTAGATTAAATAGTTCAAATTACTGAGACAATCTTCAAAACTCACATAATGGCGATACAGATAACCCAAATAGTCATTATCTATTAAGGAAATGGACTTGGCACTTGATATCTCAAGTTGCCCACTTGGCCCTCTTCCAAGTGTATTTTACTTCCTTTCTTTCACTTCTGCTCTAAAGCTTTTTAATAAACCTTCACTCCTGCTCTTAAAATTGCCTCAGTCCCTTAAAAAAAATTGGCTCAAAACTTCTATTATCCTTCAAAAAAAAAGCAGCACCAAGCCCAGATGTTTTCACTAATTCAGCAAAACATTTTAAGGAAATATAATACCAAGAGGGAACATTTCCTGCAGTGTGATTCCAACATTGCCTAATACCAAAACAAGATAAAGACATAAGAAAAGAAAACTGCAGATAAATAACTCTCGAGAACATAGATATAAAAATTTTTGAAAAAAAATTAGCAACTAAAATCCAAATATGTATACAAAAGAATTATCTACTACAACTAAGTAGAATTTATTCCAGATATGCAAGAATGCCCTTGCTCCCCAATGCCGCACAACACTGTACTAGAAATTAGCTGGAGACTAAAAATAATAGTTAGAGAAAGAAGATGAAAAACTAATAAAAGGTGTACCAAACAGACAGGAAGAAATAAATAAAATTGTTTTCATTCACAGATGGTATGATTGTCTCAGTAGAAAGCCAAACATTCTAGACGTACCTCCTGCAACTTAAGTGAGTAATAATAGGGTTGCAAGATGAAAAATCAATAAGTAAATGTCAATTGTTTTCCTGTACATTAGCAATACATAATTAGAATTCAATTTTTTAAGACAGAAATATTTAAGTATGACAACATATATAACATAATCTATGTGAGGAAAAATAACACGACTCTGAAGAAAGAAATCAAGTACATTCTAAGTAAATGGATAAATATCCCATGTTCATACATTGGATGACACAGTACTGTTAAGATGTCAGTTTTCACCCAATGGATATATAGATTCAATGCAATCCAAATTAAAATACCAGCAAGTATTTTTGTAGCTATTTACTAAATAATTCAAAAATTTATATGAGATGGCAAAATACAACGAATTTGTATTGATTATTGCTTAAGATTAAGTTGGAAAATTCATATTACACCACCACAAGACTTATAGAGTAAGACACTGTGGTGTTGGTGAAAGAAGAGATAGGGATTAAAAGAACAGACCATAAGGAATTGCACTGTATTTCAAGTTTGATGTAGCTGTAGTTGTCAGAGGATTCAAATTTTCATAAGTTTTTCTTTTCTTCGTTTATTTTTCTCTTCCTTTTCCTTTCTTTGCTTCCTTCCATTCTTTTTTGTTTTCCCTGTTGCCTTTGGAGTTTCCTAAGTCCTCCTCCTCCTTAGAGATAGTCTGTAGCTTGAAGCTTTTTCATCTATAATCCACCATAACCATATTGGAGTCCTATTAGTGTAGAAGTAAGATGTGGGGGTGGAAGAGTATTTCACAAACTTCTGATTAACTCTCAAGCTTTTAGTGGAACTGTGTCTCCAGTGTGACCTTCACAATTTTCTCTTTAGAGATGTGGCTTCTTTTTTTGCACCCACTATCTACCCCTTTCTTTGACTGTAGCATTCTCAATCAATTATCTTTGAAACTAACAACCCTGTTGACTGTGACTTTGCCCCTTTCCTCGGTAAGACAGCAAGGCTGGAAGGGGTTGGAGTGGGGTTCCCTTCTCCTAGGCTGGATGATTTTATGAAATAGAACTTTCTTCTGGAGAGTACGCATTTGTTAAGGAGAAGGTTATTAGTGTATTTTCACCGTGATTACTCTTCCTCTTTTGTTTTTAGAGCCAGGAGGGGATATTTGTGAATTATCCACTGGTGAAGTTTCTGGTGATAGAGCGCAGGAAGGTATGGAGGCCCTCCTAAGACTGCCCACCCATATAGCCCTGGGAGACTCTCACTTTCAGACTAGTTCACCCTTCACTCTAGCAATTCATTGACATTAGGAAGGATTTGTTGCTAGCAGTTTGTGGACCTAGCAGCTTCTACCCCTGGTAAGTGGATCACAATATCTCTCTAGCTGTGTTTGTTTCTCCAGAGTACACTGTGGCAGTTTTCCCTGAGAACTTACTTCTCTGGTGTGTCTGAGAAAAGTCGATTTTCAGCTTGTGTAATTTTTTGTTGTTGCTGTAAAGGTGGGCAGCTCTTTACATATTGAAGCTGTAACCTGAAATCCATTATTTTTTTTATTATACAATGTTAGCTCTAGGTGTAATGTAAAAGTAACAGATGCATGGTCTATTTTATTATCTTCTAACTCTCCACTGGAAAATACATATCACTTTATGGAGTTCAAACTACTTTAAAGAGTTTATGCAATTAAATTCTTTCTTGTTGTATGAACATAAGCTTTTGATCATTTTCATAGTAATCTAAACATTTGAAACATAAAATACAAAATTGAACTTATTCACCTTACCTACTTTAAATGGATATATAATTATGTCTTTTTTTCTGAAATAATATCTTTAGTCAAAGGATTTGTATTTTTTTCAGCTTTCTGTTTTTTAATTTTGATATTATTTTCCCCACTTGAATTCCTAAGTATAGAAATAGAATCCCATTATTAAAATGCTGATATCTGACTAGATTATCTCTAAAGAGTATTACAAGACCCAGTATTTCATGATTCTATAGTCGTTCTATATTTTCTTTTATACTCAGAGTGTGAACTGGATCTTAGTTATAGAAATATGTAGATCTAGTTTATTTCAGGATGTTGGTAGAAACGGGGACAAATTATTCACCAATCTTCATCCCAGGCTCAGAGGAAGATTATATATCCAAGTTTTCCACTATAATTAGGTTGGAGCCATATGACTAGGCTCTGGACAAAAGGACAGTGGAAATACTAGGCATCACTTTTAGGCATGCCACACCTTGGGTATTCTAAGCCTCCAAGACCCCTTAAAAATGTTAATGATTATACTCTCACAGCAGGAAGCAACATATGGTCAATGGGTGTGTGTGTGTGTTTGTGTGTGTGTATCTAAGTGGGCACAATAGATATATTTGGACTTGGCAATTTTAAAATTAAAATTAATTGATTAATATAATAAGTTTTTTTCCAATTCAATAGCACTTTATAACTTTTTTTTTATTTTTCTAAAAGTGTAGGAGTTGGGTCACCTCAAGTTTTTTAAGGCATATTTCCATTTCTTAACCTGCTGAATCAGAATCTATGTGAATGGAACCCAAAATTTTGCATTTTAAACAAATAATCTCTCTATAGGCTAAAATTAGGGAAATGGTACTTAATTTTACAGGCTTTTTCATATTACCCATTCATTTAATCTACATATAAACCTTCTTGTTTTACCAGGAGTTTAAGACATTATTTTTGTGCATTTATTTAATTATGTTATTCCTTAGACTAATGAAAACAAAGAAAAAATAGGAGGATTTTAAATATTCATTTAACAAAATGAGGTTTTTGTTTTGTTTTGTTTTGTTTTTTAGAGGAAATTGAGCTAAACAATTCCAGGGAGTAAAAATATGATGAAGCCAATTAAAAGGTTAATATGTAAAATGTGTGACAGATGGCAGGCCCTTTCTGGTCCCCTAGAGTTCCAACAAGGCTGACTTCAAGCTTGGGATCTGACTGTGAGCTTCAGCTATGACCACCTTTCAGAATTTCAGATGCTACATCTATGACACTTCAAGGCCCTTGATTTTACCTCTGGGATATAGTCCCTTATAAATCTGCTCCATTTAAAAAAAAAAATGAGATTTCTGTGTGAGCTTGAAGAGATTTACCCTTGCCTCCGGAGTCCTACCCCTTTACAGAGAACAGACTGTGAATTCCTCTTTCAAACCAGAAATCAGTCTCTGCAACAGTCCCCTGGAGGAGTCTGGAAAAAAAAAAAAAAAAGCCTGTGCTTCTGTTGCCTGCTTTGTTAATAAATAGCAGATTACATTCTCTGGGGCTATGCTAAATTTATAAAGAACATGTTATGCCAGACAAACTTGATTGCTTTTTCAATAAAGTCAGTAAATTAGCGGATAAAGGAATAGAGTGGATGTAAAATATCTTGATCATAATAAAACAAGTTGATAGGAATTCACACACACACACAAAAAGATCTTGCTTGAAAATTTAATCCAAATTACCTTAGCTTCAAGGACTGTCACATAGATTAAACACTGAAAGAAGAATGACCGTAAAGAAAAGATAATGAAAAATGCTAACAAAGAAATCTATTATAGGCACTTAAAATCTTAATGAATATTATATAAAAGAGACTAAATAGCCCAAGCTTTAATTTCTCACTTTGCCTACTCAATTGAGAGGCTTAGAGAATAATCAGAGAAATTGCTATACTTCTTCACTGTTTGAAAGCCTATCCTATTTAGAGCAATTGGTTCACTCAGGTTTACTAGAGTGTAGATATTAATGCTCTGCTCTAAAATTTTAGTCATTTTAAATTCTAAGGGAATTGTGACAAATGCAAGGAATATTTTAGTAATTCCATCTATACTGTTTCATGTTGGGAGTGAGTGAATTTAAGAGAGGTGGATCTGGACTTGGTCTCATTATCTTAGGTGCAGTATCTGGTATTCTAATGTGAGACAGGATACTACAATCGCACAATTAATTACATAACCCATGGTGTACCTGAATCATAAAGACCCAGTCTTCAAGCTTAGGGTGCTACTGCTTTTGTTTATAATGGAATTCTCTAGTTCTCTTCATCTAGAGGAAGCATGGTATATAGTTAAGATCATAGTTTTGAGTCTTGGTTTGCCTTTTAGAAACTGAATAAACTTGAAACGTCCCATAACAATTCTTAGCTTCTATTGACTTACATGTAGTTTGATGATGATGACAAGAATTACTTACCTCAAGGAGTCTATCACATTGAAGGTACAAAACATATGCTATGATAAAGTTAATGTATAGGTGTCTATGGGCCTTAATGTGTCAGATATGTACCATTGCTCAGTGATTTACCTAATTCAAAATAAGTATTTAATTATTGATGATTATCATAATTAGAATGGTACTCTTGGAATTGACATTAAGTCTACCTGGCTAGTAGTAGCCTGATATTCTGTTTTCTTATAACAGAAAAGTTGGAATATGCCCCTTTCTCCTAATACTATAATTTATCTTCATGTAACCATTACAGTTTTGCCTATTTGATTGAGTGCAGTTGAGCCTGTTCAACCTGTTAGACACTTTTAAATTACTAGCCATTTCCCTAAGGATCCCAAACATTTGCATTTTTAAAAATTCTTATTGTCATCCACAATTCTGACACCTTTCCCTTATCTTTTGCACTGTGCCAGTGAAAACCCATCTATCTATGACAGTTAAATGGCATTAGAAATAAAATAATTTGCCATAGATACAAAAAGCCAGCCATGCCTACATCAATAACAGGTAATATACTAACTGACCATTTTCTAATATTCAACATATGAAGGTAGTTAATACCATTGTTATTTTGAATAAACTGAACCAAATTTTTAATGCTTAAATATGTTCATATTCTTTGAGGATCCATTTCTTCATTTGTAAAATGGGAATAATAATCAACAACAACACAGGATTATTATGAGACTCAAATTATTACTCAGAAGTTCTTTGAAATCCCTAAAATAATGTAGAAGGTTGAGGAGGCTATTAAGTGACCCACTTATTGAGTAAGGAAAGATAAACCCTAACTCTCATTATTACTTTTATAAACTCCAAACAGGGATATTTTTGGCTACAATAAGGTTTTTATGTGCATTAGAAGTAGTTTCATTTTGCAACGCTAATGAACAAACCAGAAATAAGATAATTTGGAAGTAAATATAATGGGTTAAATGTATTTTAGAATCTCAAAATTTAGAATATTGTTATTGCAAGTTCTTACCTTTTACAATATTACAGGATTTTTATATATATTTTCTGTATTGAAGATAGCTTCCCTAACAGTCAACTCCAGATGCTGTCATAGTTGATTCAAATTAAGCCAATTTTCAAAGCTTAGGAAGAACACAGAATTTGGGCAAGAGAGACATGGCATTGATTTCTCATTCTGCAACTTATTAGCAATGGAGGCCTTCAATAAATTACTTAACTTCTCTCAGTCTTAGTATGCCTTATATATTAATTTGGATTTTAACATTTTTATAAGCTGTTAAGCTGTCTACTGAGATATATTATTAATGTTGCTCAGTGATAAGCCAAAAGTAGGAATCTAACCAAGGATACATACCTTAATCTGTATTAAGGTAAGTTGCCAGGGCTACTGGGAGTAATAACAAATTTAAACCATTCCCATCAATATGGAAACTTGTGAGACAATTATGCATGCTGAATTTTATCTGGGAGAGGGGGTAATTCATGTAATCACTTTTTGAAATTAATGCCTACTAGGAATACCTTCTGTTTTTCTTTTAAGAAAGAGATTTAATTGTCAGGTTAAGAGTAACTTAATGACTGAGTAAAAGGTCTACATTCATAGGAAACAATTTACTTTTGTGAAAAAAGTGAGCTTTTTGTGAAAAAAAAAAAAAAACTGAGCTTAATGTCAAAAGAATATATTACTTAGCCCTTGATAAGTATTTTCCTCTTTAAGTTTCAATTGCTAAGTTTGATAAGAAGGAATAATATTACCCCCGTAATACTGTGGGAATTGATTAATTAATGTATACAAATTTTAAAAACATATGAGGATGTAATCAGCTTGCAATGCATGTTAATAGCCTTCTCGTTCTGCCATAGACTGGGTTAATCCTTAGGAAGCAGAACCTGAGTCAGAGCTTTCAGAAACAATGTTGATGTGGGAAACCTATGCCAGGGAAAGAGAGGAGGTGACTGGACAGGGTGAGGTGGGAAAGAAGAAGAGCCATTTTACAATGAGCTTTGTGGAGATGTGTAGTGCTTTTGGCCATTGGGGATCACATCTCCCTAAAGACTTAGAGGATAAATGAGAATGAGTAAGTATGAGCTTCAAAATTGTCCTCCTGAGAGATGGAAGTAACATGCATTGATTCGATAGCTTTCATCCCTTTTTGGTCCAGAGTTGTCAAATAAGGTGTTACATTTTCTGTGTTTCCAGATTAGTGAGTGCTGCAGTGCTGACTGAGAGCCTGCTTGTGTCCAAAACTGCAGTATCAAAGAAGCTCTGGGGGAGTAAGCCCTGGTATAGCTAAGGTACTGCCAGGTTACATCTGAGGAAAGCTGCCTGTCTTAGTAGTTTCGAGAGGAAATCGTTGCCCAAAGAGCATGTCAAGTATGGACATAATAGGGCACTACTCAAGTAAATGCAATTAAATTCACTGTCTTCTCACCTACATATACACTTGGTGCCACTCGTTGCTGCCTCTATTCTTCCTTATTTAACTATTTTAAAATAGGTTATCGGGATGTAATTTACCTACAGTCACATCACCTTTACAGTAAACAAAAAGGGTGAATTCACATTTGAAGAATGCATGTAGTTTTATTACCAGCACGATTCCCTTTCAGAAGTACATTATTATTAGATTAGCCTGATAGCATCCAGTACAAATTTCCTGCCATTTTATGTCTTTCCTTTTCTTATAACAAGCCTCAAAGGGCTAGAGAATAGAAAAGCACATTCTTTCCAGAAATAAGAAGCAAAATATGCCTTGGATTGGCAAAATATTCTTAACTACCAAAACTGGGAAAGAAATACATGTTTTCTCTGAGCCTTTTTGTCTACCTTTGTGTATGACTAAAATGTTTTCATTTTCTTAGGACTTGCTTGTGAAAATCCCTCTGCAAATTAACTAAAATGTTTCACTAATGGAATTTTGAGAAGTGGGCATACCTATGTCTACAATGTAGAGAGCCTGTGACTAGAGAAAATACTGGAATATGTGGTAGTGAGAGAAGAATTCCTGACAGAGGTAGCTTATTCTATGAAAAGCCTATAGCTGAAAAGGCTTTTTAAAGTTTGACATTTGTTTCATCGGCAAAGACAAATCTATTCATTCTAACCAATCCAGGTTTTAAAGCAAATGACAGCCCAGGTATCACAGTGACCAGAACTAGCTCTTCCAGCAGAAAGATTTTGTGATGTTCATTGTCTGAGGAAAAAAGAAGAAATGAAGATAAAAAATAGCAAATGGTCATATGCTACAGGCCTTTTATTTCATAAGCCTCCAACAATAAATCTAGTGACCATTTTCACAAAAACTCTTTATTATAGTTTTAATACTAGCTAAGTGGGCAGAAAAGCCTAGTCTTTCCCTGGATACCAATAAGACACTGTCCCTTCTTACATACACTGGAAAAACATATGGAATGTGTTTGAGTTGTGATATACAAAATAAACTCCTGCTTTTAACTGTTAAAATTCCATGATGGCAGCTGTAAGGAAAATGGCTGAACTTCAGTCAGGAGTAGGCCAAGGTGGACATCCGGTACAGTATGACACACTGGGTTTGAAGTGCAGGCACACAACCCCACGCTTTACATAATCACATTTATGTAGCCGTTTAATGTAACCTGTTTGTGTGAGCTCATACCTGGCTTTGAGTCACTATTGTACTGTACTGCTGACTCTGTAGGCGGGAGAATAAAACCAGGTCCCAACTGCCTCGAGTGTTCATTCAGCTACCCGCCACCCTTCCACCAACTCCCCTTGGACCCCAGCTCGAGTTGGAACCTGACAGCAACATTTAAAAAAAATTAAGCTGATATAATTATTAAAGTAGCCCTGAGAGACAGATAGTGAGAGGTACCTTCAGATGAGCTCAGAGAAAACCATGTACCCCTCATCTCTCCTAATAGAGAAATTGAGGAGTCAAGAGTTGAAGTAACCTGACCAAGTTCAGGCAGATACTATGAAAGTGCCCTAACAGTCAGCATCATGAATTTCAATCTCTACCTCTTTCCACTGCACGTGGGTAGGTAAAAATATATAGCCATATTAAGTAACTTTTCAACTTCATAATATTTAAAGAGGAGAAAAGGTCATATTATTTTGTAAACAAGTCAAATAACTGTCTTCTCAAAAATGACTAAGATTTACTCTGTTCTTTCCTGTGTACCCAGCTGACGTTATGTGAAGCCTCTTGCCTCTTTTTTGTTTTCCATATAACATTTTAGACACTCTTGCAAAAAGTTTTTTATTGAATGAGAAATGGGATGACCCACATTTCACTTGATGTCTGTAGAAAAGAATAGTGATTGAGAAAGATCTTTATCTTCATTCAAAAGAGCAACGAATGGTCTCGGGTTACCAGAAGAGGAAGCCATCTTGAAAATGTCATCAATGAAAATAAAACAGACAAGCAAATACAAACAAAACTAAATCCATTCCCAATGCTTGACTAATTTTGAAACAGATGGCCTAATTAGAAACTCTGAAAGAACAAGAGAGAACCATGTGCCAAAGGGAAATAAGATGCATTACCTCTGGGAGGAAAATAAGTGTGTTAGAGATATAACAACTATTAGTTTAATGACTTTGGATAGTCACCTTATAAAAAATCTGGTTAATCTAAAATTGAAAGTGTAAATTCCCATTGATGGTTATATTATTTCAGTAAACTGTAAAGGAGCTTAAACAATGAAAGGTCTGTTTCCAGCCAGAAAACTATTTCCTTTTTAAAAGTACTTGAATCAAATTTAGCAACATTTATTTGGGGGTAGAAGTAGAATCTTAGAGCTTCTAGAATGAACATGATATCCGAAGTCTTATAAAATATCTTTGTCATCTTCATATGTAAACAATGTCAAGTTAGAACTGGCAATAAAAGGAAGAAATCAAAATTTCTTGAACAAACTGACACAAACTAGAACAGGCTGAATTACAAGTTAGTGGGTTTTGACTGTCGCCAGAGTATTCAAATTATGGGTGTGGTCGAAATTCAAATATCAGAGAGCAGTTGAACTCACTGCTTTCCAATATCCCTTCTAATCCTAAGATTTAATGATGTGATGAATATATTGAACTCTCTTTGCCAAAGAAAGAGAATAACACAAACTTTCACAATTATTTCATTTTACAAGTATTGCCGAGATGGTATACATAAAACATTTACCTTCTCTAACCCATCTGAACCACCTCATGAATAAAAAGGATATTTTTCATGAGGTACTTGTTAAGTGCAATGACAATCCTCACAGAAATGTCCTTTTGTGTGCTCCAGTCACCAACATTGCTATTGTAATTTAGAAAGCAACATATATTTACATATAAGTATGTAAATACTTAAGTTGTCTTCATAACTGGACATGAATACCTAATAAGAAATTTAAGCAATAGCAATGTAAAGGCTTTTTGACAACCTTTGGTGACTTTTTAAATTGCCCTAAGTTACCATTTTAGCATTGAGCATAGTGTCTCACGCATAATAGATGTTCAAGATGTCTTGATAAATAAATGAAATAGTATATACCTAATCCTTGGTAATTGAGTATCTTTTCTGTTGTTCCTAAAACAATTATTGAGGTCCCACTTTGTACCAAGCCCTGAGATGGAGGGATCATTGAATGATTTCTAAAATGTATAACGGACACTAATACAATGCTTTTCTGTAAAAGGAATACTTGTCTAGTGGGCATGTGGAGAAAAGTGGAATAGGGTGAGAGAACTCAGACATGAACAATTGAGAATACAAATGGAATTAGTGATGTTAGAAAAGTTTATATAAAAATCAAAAAAACAAATAGATGACAATTCCAGCATAGGTTTATTTGGCTCCATAGGATTGTTCTGAGGACAGTGTTGATTGCTTTATGATTATTTTTTCTCATTTGGTTTCTTTTTCACCTGTATTATTTATTTAAAAATAAAGTTATATTTGTGTTTTCCTCAATTTCCTAGAAGTAATAAATTATTGCTTAGCATGGGTGTGGTGGCTTGTGCCCACAATCTCAGCACTTTGGGAGGCCAGGAGTTCAAGACCAGCCTGGGCAACATAGTGAGACCCCATCTCTGCAAAATAAATTAACCAGTCATGATGGCACACACTTGTAATCACAGCTTCTCAGGGAGCTGAGGTGGGAGATTGCTTGAGCCCAGGAATTCCAGGTTAAAATAAGCTATGATGGCACCACTGCCCTCCACAGAGGAAGACCCTGTCTCTAAAAAACTTTTTTAATAAAATAAAGATAAGTACATAAATAAAAAAATTGCTTGGAAAAATAGAAATTTATGGTAGACCACTGTTTAAAAACCTGTTAAAGATGTGTTTACTCTGCAATTCACATCTGTTTAAAATTTACCAAACATCAGATGAATCAAATCCTACTTCCTGAACTGGATTATGGAGACAATAAGATACATTATTTTCTTTTGTTTTATCTTGTCACCACACACAGGCCCTAAAATAGCCTCTTTTTCAGGTCAAAATAGTCACAATGGAAGGTTTTAGTTGCTTTCCAGGCACGTATTACAGTTACAGAAGATTTTCACATAATCAAAGTTGAGTATTTCAAGAGAGATCAAAAGAGACAGTGAAGTGGAGAGCAGGTGTGCCGACATTCTTAGAGGAGCTGAGAATGCAATTAACCAGCAAATGAGCCCTTGTACAGTCAGGCTTCCTGAACAGATGAGCACAACAAAAGCTACCCAGAAATAAGGTGGCCAAGGGCTACTCCTGAATGGAGTGTGCACATGGGCATCTGCCCCTGTTCTTGAACTTTAGGAAGAGAGAGGGAGAGATATTCAATAGGGGCAGCAGAGCCAAAATAATTATGCAAATACAGGAAACTGCAGGAGGACATAAAAGTTTAGACTGCTTTCACAAAGGATCTTGTAACAGAGATTCTCTCTTCTCTCTCCCAATAGCACCAACTTAGGGCTAAAACAGGGCAACAGAAGCAATTCAAGCAAAATTAAAAGCATCGTGGTTAAATCACTTGACATTAGTAGGGCAAATCCAAAGGCCATTTTGATAGCATTCGGAGTTACCAAATTTGTTTAGCTTTGTCAATTATGAGTACTGTGAACGAGAATTAGTTACTTAACCTCTCTGAGCTTCTATACTCTCATTTATAAAGTGCTGATATAAATAGTCATCACAGCAGTAGTAAAATAATGTTAAAAAATGCTTCCTTTGCTGGACTGTTATGAGAATTAGAGACAAGTATGTTACTGACATGGATCATGGCAAGGATTTATGTAATAGCTGCCATCGTAATTCCATGGTAGTAGTGTACTTAAAATGTATGGGTTAAGCCACTACTTATAATGCACAGAAGTTACAATGTTGACATAGTGCCTGCTGTCAAGGAACTTATTTCTCGCAGGGAAGCTAAGGAATATTAACAGGTATAAGAAACAGGTAACCCAGTCTTATGGTAAGTTGAAATGCATATTAGAGGTAATGTTAAATTGCTCATGATAAAGAGGTAGTGGGAGATAAAGGAGGAAATTAACCACCAGAGAAATATCATGTGCTAACACCAAGAGCTAAGAGATTATGGTTCACCTATAGGATGTGGCATAGCATAGCATAAAAGTTGTTGTGCCCCCTGTTAGCTCCCACAGGGATGATGCCAAGCTGAGAAGGCCTAAGAAGAGACCCAGAGCCAACAAAGGAGACATACGTTTTATTAGCAGGAGACTTACAGACAGGGAGATCCAGTGTAGGCACGCTGGACAGGGGAACCACATAGCCCAGTGGTGATCGGCGGGGCAAGAGTACCATAGTTGCTTGCAAAAAGCATGCACTTTATATGGCATTTTCACTTAGCACCCTCTCCTAACAACCTCCAGCTGGCAACCTTCATTTAACCCAAAACAAAGAGCTTGGCTCTCTTGTATGTCCCACCATTCACAGAACAGGCCAGGAGCTCAGATAATCCTCATAGATACTCTGAGTTGACTATTCTCAGATTCCTTAGGTTGGAACTCTAAGCACACAACATTCAGGTGCATCTTCTATTCAGGGTCATTCTTGGAGTCTACTTAAGTTAGGTTATTGTTGTCAGCTATGTCTACCATCCACAAGGCTACTTAAACTTGTTCTTCCAGACTTTGGTCAATATCTACTAGCTGCATGTTCTTGATAATGTAATTCTTAGATATAGGTTTCTCATCAGTGAAAGAGGTATATCAATAGCAAATTAAAGAGTTGTTGAGCGATTAAAAGAGATATTTCCTATAGTATGCTTAGTATAATGGTAGCTATTATTATTTTATAATTAAGATTGCTGCTGTTAGCTTATTATTATTCAGGGAACTATAGTATGTGACTGGCAGGGAATGGGTTAAATATGAACCCTCCATGCTGACATTTCACATTTTGTTCCTATGGCAACCCATCCATCAAAATGACACTATATATATGTGTGTGTGTATGTATGTATATATGTAAACATATACATACATAAATTGTGTTTTTATATGTGTGTGTGTGTGTGTGTGTATAAAATATATACTGTCCAATTGTGAACCTGTGAGAAGTCGGATGACATTGCCCAGGGCTCCTGCACCCCTTATATATGCTACAATACATCTGTACCTCATACCTCCAGGTATCAATCACAGCAGGTGTCTAGCTTCAAAACTAGGCACTGATCCCAGACATCAAGTGAAGTGGGGGATTTCCTACTCAGGATACAGAGATCAGCAATTGATATTTTCCTACACTCTCATTGTTAGAGCAACATAGCAAGAAACTACAAGTCCCTCTATTTTTTTTAAATATTAAAGCAAAAATGAACTTTATTATTTTGACACAAAGAGACAGAAAGAAAGGTATAATCATTCCAATTGTGTTGATGGCTTTTCTTTACAATCATCATCTTCAAAATTTTTTTTAATTCCTCAAAAGATTCGGATACTTTATGATGCATAATATTTGCTTTTCATCCGTACAAAAACTTGACAAAATTAAAATTACCTCACGTCCTTGTCAACTTGTTGCTCTTTGCTTTGCTTTTAAGGAAGATGATTATGTATTTGAATCTTGACCAGTCTACCTCCTGCATTGTGTTTTCAAACTCATATTCAGTAGCCACATTGCCTGTGGTTAAATCCTGACTCAGTGATTTGCTACCTGAGTAATCTTGAGAAGGCATTTAACTTCTCTATGCCTCAATTTATTTATGAACCAAAGAGGGGCGATAATGACACTTGCCTCAAAAACGTTTAATACATATTAAATGAGTTAGATCATGTTAAAAAAATTGAGATCGTTGCCTGACACATGTTGAGATATTCTATTTCTCTAAATTGGTCACTTAAAATTATATTGTCTATTTTCTCATCTCAAAAAAGACAATAAAAGGCCTGCCTGCAGAGTTATTGGAAAGCATACAAATCTTTGATAAATGCCATTTACATTAAAGAGAACATAATAAGTACTCAATGAATATTAATTTTATTTATGAGGCACGTTAATATTTATGTCTTAAGCAATATTTCATCTAAAACTGTTCATTGAGAAAGCTTTAGATTTGGACCTTAAATACAATCTAAAAAAAGTGTGTGATACTAGTATCCCTTCTTCATACACGATAGATTTAATTATTGGACCTAATCATTTCAGCTTCCTTGGTAATATTGTAAATCCACATCCTTGCCATGGTCTTATGGTTCAAAGAGTACACCAGCCAGCCTGGGAGACTGGGCTTGGCCATGTGACTTGTTTAGGTCAATGGAATGTTAACAGAAATATGTAAATTGTGCATTTTGGCTTACTCTCTTGAGCCTTTTCCACTGCCTTAAAATATGTCATGAGTAGCTGCTGCTCCTCCAATCTAATCCTCATAATGACATACATGGAACAGAGCCACACTAGTTGATCTTCAGGTCTATAACTCAGTAATAAATTATTCTTATATGCCATTGAGTCAATGTGTTTGTTTTTTTATGCAGATTTTTTGTGACAACAATTCATACTTCTACGTTATTAACAAAGAACATAGCTGTAGCTTCCAAGGAAGCTGCTTACATATTTTTACTAAGAGAACACCCCTTTACGTATGGAGTCCATAACAGTTTCCT
The DNA here is from genome assembly GCF_000001405.40 of Homo sapiens. Classification (NCBI taxonomy): domain Eukaryota; kingdom Metazoa; phylum Chordata; class Mammalia; order Primates; family Hominidae; genus Homo; species Homo sapiens. The sequence goes on along the minus strand of NC_000016.10, from coordinate 63,411,807 downwards.
CATGTAATTTGGCCCTCTGGCTTATAAAGAAGCTAATTTGTCTCTGAGTTTTTCAAAAGTACTTGAAAAACTAGCACATGTGGCTAGTGATATGAGTCAAAAGTATGGTAATGTAAATGGAGTTCTTTTTTTCTTTCTTATTTTTCTCTTTCTTTGTACATCTGATTCATAATATGCACTCTCAGAAGATAACTGTACAAAATGTGTACATATTTTCACAAAACTTTGCTGTATTAATTTTTTCTCTTACGATAAATATAATTATGTAACTTTAAACTCCTGGAGAATATGGCATATTCCACAGTAGTCAGTGATGTTTGTTCAACATTTCATGTTAGAGAAAGGGTTTTAGCTCTGAGAGTTAAGCTATTTGCCTTTTGTCTCATAACAAATTGGTGGCAAAATAAAGAAAAATTTAGGTCACCTGACTCACAATAAAGTGTGTTTCCTTTTATAGTGATTGTTAAATGTTAAAGAAAACAATAAAATCACATCTTTTATTTTGATTGTCATATTGTCACTCTGACATGGTTACAGATGGACATTTACATTAGCCAACAGTTTGGCAAAAGAATCTAATGAAAAGCCTATTTTGTAATAAAGTGTTGAAAATCTCATGTAGTATATTGAATGTTGTAGCGAAAGTGAAAAACAGAATGGTTGTAAGGGTACCCAAAGTATGGTTTCTACTGAATGCATATGGATTTCGCACCACAATAAAGTAGAAAAATAGTATGTCAAACCACCATAAGTTGGGGACCATTCTTATATACATGTATTTTTATGTTCTTATATATAAAATAACACATATGTATCTTATTTTAGAAATATATGGCACCTCCTCAATTATTTAAATCAGCAATGTCTCTATTGTCAAATTTATCCAAATGGCCAAAATTGTTCACATTGAGTGACATTTTTTTCAATTGTGGTAAAATACAAAATTTACCAATTAATGATTTTTAAGTATACTGACATTAATTATAGTCACATTATTGTGCAATCATCATTATCATCAGTTTCCAAAATTTTTAGTCAACCCAAACAGAAGCTCTGTAGCGATTAAGCAGTTGTCCTCATTCTGCCTTCTTCTCAGCCTCTCATCACCTTATTCTACATTCTGTTTCTGTGAACTTGACTATTCTAGATATCTCACATGTGTGATCATACAAGTTATATTTTTTGTGTCTGGATTATATTACTTAGCATAATGTTTTGAAGGGATGTTGCATAAAAGTAAAAGTAGTAATATATAAGGAATATGGCACTGTTAATTTATATAGATTCTTCAACATGGTTGATGACAAGAAAACACACACATATAGGCACACACAGAATGTACTGATTTGTTATTAATGAGGATTTAAGTTATTTTTCTTATTTTATGGGTATTAAGAATGTTAAATATCTTCTTTTTCATGTGTTAGATTCAAATATCTCTGCAAAATAGTTAACTCAGTTTATACTCTCATAAATAGTAAGCAAAATTTCCCACATTACTTTGTATTTTCAGGCCACTAATTTTAATTAACATGTAGGATGTGAAATAAAATCTCATTTTTTGTTAAAATAGGAATTTTGTTTGAAGATTACTGTTTCCTTCAAATAAATTCAGGTAAAATATATATGTTTTTATTTTTGGGGAAGAACTGGATTGTGCATTGCCTATTTTTATATTTTTATTATTTTCATTACATTAATATCCGCTCTAACTGCCTTAACTCTTTCTTCTCAATTATTTGAGTTTTCCAAATTATTTTTCTAGGCTTTTAACTTGAATATTAAATTAATTTTATAAAACTAATTTAGCTTTGTTTATTGTTTGCCTATATTATTCAATCATTGAAATGTGTTATTTTTTAACTTGAAAGATTTGTGAATTATGAAAAATTTTAGCACCATCAGTGGCTTTTGATATGCAATTCTAATCCATTTACAATTAATTTAACAATTCATTATTTTACTCATTTTTACATATTTTAATTTTATTTTTGCCACATTTATTTCCTTCTTTTATTTTCTACTTAAATTGACCATTTTTCATAGTGCTTTTCCTCTTGTATTTATTACCTACAGAATGTATTTTACATTTTACTGAATATCCACATACTTTAAAATATATTCTAATTTACATTTTCTTTTCTGAAAAATGTATTCGCGTCAAAATTGTACTTTCTCTCCAAATGAGAAATACTAGGTAATTTATATGTCAATTGAAAACTAAGGATTCTGTGAACTGTAATCTTTGCCATCTTATCCACAAAAGGCATATGTGTTAAACACTTTCTGGGTTAGGCATTATATTTTCATCTACCATTCTTCTCTACGAATTATTTCTCTTACACATTCCCATTTATTTCCAAAGAAATGAATCTCTGCTTACTGTGCATTAGATAACTCATCAGTGACAAGAACTAGTCATCATAACCACATTGCCTCCCTAGTCCTTGAGAACATAATGGGAATAAGCATGAGATCAATTTCTGGCCAATGGGTCATACATGGAAGTCTAGTTTAAAGCTTCAATATTATTTTAAATTCCTGTATAAAAGACAGAACTTTATTAACTGAAAACTTTTTATCTTTTCCTCTTTATTACTACTTATAACCTGTTGTGTAAGAAGCTGCAGGAACCATTTTGAAATGATGAAATGACATTTTTAAGTGCAAGGAGTCAACATAATTTAACTGTTTGGAAAGTGGATGCAGCATGTGGCAAAGCCAGAAGATAGAGTCCATGATTTTAATAACTTCCTTAAGAAACGGCAGAATATTCAATATGTCTGGAGTCTGTATGTGTGTGTACATGCAGATGGCACACACACGAATGCAGGATAATTAATGACTTCAATATTTAAACCTTTGTTGATCAGTCACTTTTTTGCTTTCAAATAAACATATTCTGAATAGACAAAATTTCTACATAGCTAGACTTTCTTCTAAAAGTTTATTTTTCAGGCCGGGCGCGGTGGCTCACGCCTGTAATCCCAGCACTTTGGGAGGCCGAGGCGGGCGGATCACGAGGTCAGGAGATCGAGACCATCCCGGCTAAAACGGTGAAACCCCGTCTCTACTAAAAATACAAAAAATTAGCCGGGCGTAGTGGCGCGCGCCTGTAGTCCCAGCTACTTGGGAGGCTGAGGCAGGAGAATGGCGTGAACCCGGGAGGCGGAGCTTGCAGTGAGCCGAGATCGCGCCACTGCACTCCAGCCTGGGCGACAGAGCGAGACTCCGTCTCAAAAAAAAAAAAAAAAAAAAAAAAAAAAAAAAAAAAAGTTTATTTTTCAGCTATTTGTAAAGTCTAAGGACTGTGAGCATTATATATAACCTGGGCATTCCAAGCAAAAAGTCATTGTGGAGTGTGAGGTCAGCCAAAAACAAACAAAAAAAAATGTAAAATTGACAGATCCAAGTGTTCATCTTTTCACAAACATACTAAAAAATTGAAACAAAAAGATAATCAACTTTGTCAGAAAGCTGGAAAATAGTTAACCATTTACAGAAAACAAGTAAACACTGAGTCAAGAACAAGGTAACTTAAAAATTATACAAAATATTTGCAGCATTTTACTTGCCCTAGTCCTACTCCCTTCAGCAGTGGTCTTGAAGATGGTATCCTGAATTTCCTGTGTGGTACTCTGGCCCCAGTTCTTGAGATGCCAAAGAAATTATGTTTATTTGTCTGTTTCAACCTGTCTGGGAATTTCCTAAAGGACTTCTGCAAGCTACGTGCCTTTTTTTTTGCCTAATTTATAATTTTTCATGTTTAAAAGGAGCTAGGCAGAGGAAAGTCTTTAAAAACATTGTAAGGTAAATTAACAATCCACTGCAACTTGGTGCAAAATATTACAACTGAGGTAAACTATAGCCATGCTGAAAGCCGGAGAGAGTTGTTCTTTAGAAATTAGGTAATTGAAAAGCACATGCACATACCAAAGAAATTAGAAGGCAACATTCATTCCCATGGCTACACATATGCTCAGAAAAGACCTGAGATGACCCTCAGCTTTCCAAGTGGTTTATCTTTAAGCTGTGCACAAGCAGGAAGAGAAGGCTAAGACAGAGTTGCAAATGATCTGTCTAGGCATTGAAGAAGTGTTCCAGCACAATGTCAATTTACAAAGATTAGAAGAGATACATGTATATAAGTATGTATGCATCTATCTATCTATCTATCTATCTATCTATCTATCTATCTATCTATCTTTCTATCTATCTATCAATCAATCATCTAGCTAGCTAGCTAGCTATTTATCTGTCTTTTTAATCTATCTTTTCTTCTTTTTTTTTTCTTTCACTGCAGGGGTTCAAGGAATTTTATGAGAAAATACTAGCTAGACATGAGATAAAGAAACATATACCTCAGAGACCACCCATAACAAATAATACGGACAGTAAAAACAAACAAAAAAGTCTTTAAAAAATACAACCACAAAAGAAAATCTGAAGATCTAAAGAAGGGAGAATCATATAATTTTTATAGTTAGAAATTACATTTGCAATGTCAAATTTTCAAAGACAAATTATAAAGCATGCAAAGAAAGAAGAAAATACGGCCCAATAAGAGGAGAAATGAATAGAAACTGCCCCTGAGGAGGCCAAGCATTAGGCTTACTACACAAAGACTTTGTATCAAGTTTCTTAAAAATGTTGAAAGAGCTAAAAGAAACTGTAAATAAAGAGCTAAATTAAAGAAGAAGAATGGGATTTCAATAATTATTTATTCTGGGGAGATGAAAATGTTTTCTGAAACATTTCATAGTGGTTGTGTTACACAACATTGTTAATCTACTAACTGCCAGCGAATTGAACATATTAAAATGGTTCATTATATTTTATTTGAATTTCATCTCTACTTTAAACCAAACAAGCATTTTGCAGTTTTATTTATACTAAGTTTTGGCAGATTTAAACTAGATTATTGTCTCAATTTATCTCCACAATCCTTTTTTTTTTTCTATCTGAAAAACTACCTTTCCTGTTTTCATGGATAACTTTCTGTGTTTTAGGTTCTATTCCTAGATCAACGAGTTTCTTCCCTGACAGTTATCCTCTATTGGCTTCAATATTCTCCCTAAAAATTACAGCATTTGACTTAACGATCACAAATATATTGTTTATATGAATCTTTGTATATACATAAAAAATCTGGGTCTATGCTTCTCCCTCTGCAAGTGTTAACTAGGATAATTTTGGGCAAATTGCTTAACTTACCTGAGGCTGATGTATCTTATATGCTACCTTTATTTTACTACTGCTTGAATAAAAATTTCTCTAGGGCTCTTTTTTTCAGATCAAACTGTATTATGTGAATTTTAATAACTAAAAATCTATAATATGGTGATGTGACATTAATATGCTTTACTCATTCATTGACTACTCTGTACCTATCCTTCACTGTCTCTGGAAATCCAAATAATATTGAAAACAAACATGTCTTTTAATCCACTGGGTCTCTTGTTGTCACTTACTGTATAACGATGATGGTGAGGGGGAAAATATTTATTACTGTAATTTATATATCTTTAAGAAAAAGACCAATAGATAAGGGCAATTTTGTCTGCTATGTTATCTGTACTTTTATTTGAAGAGGCAAAATTCAACAAGGATGATGTAAAACTAGTTTGTAAATCCATTATTTGCTGCACAAATATGTAGATAGCATTTGCATATTGAATGAAAACAAGCAAAGTTTTCTGAAGAGATAATTCCATTGGACCCATTTAAATTACCCATCCAGCACATTGTCTGCTGTGTAATAGATATTGGGTGCTTTGAATTATTTATAACTGAGTAGTCATCCCTCCAAGCATCTCTAAAGCAATCATCTAAGAAAGCAATTTGATTGGACTCAACTTGTGAAACATTTGTTATTATTTATTGTAGACTACATACTAGATATTCAGGGTATGAGATCAGTATTATGGTGCAGAGAAAAGCTGCACACAAATGTTATAGTATCACAGACAGAGTTAGAAAGTAAAATTTCACAATGCAGAAAAAAGTTATTTAGGTAAGATGAGACTACCACTACATTGGTGACCGGTGCTTTTGAGTTATGTGATATTTGGGAAGTTAGTTAATATTTCTGAGTCACAATTTAGATCTCTACAAGTATAGGCAAAACACAAATTTATATATATTGAGATAGGACTTTTTGCTAGACTCTATAACCAGGCTTTGGCATTAGGAAGCTATACTAGACTTAATACCTATCTTCAAAAAAGCTTCAACATACTGGGAGAAAAAGATATACATAAATTGAAATAAATAATGATACTCCTGTAAGGGAACTTGATCATTTGATATTTTTTCCAGATATAAGTGTCACCAAATCCAAACCAAATAATTGAATAACCAAGTATATTTATGAAGACATTCAGAGATGTACAGGCTTCAGGGGAAGTGAAAAAAATGATTTGACGTTTCTTCAAAGTTCTAGGTTCCTTAGAGCTTTTTACTCTTAGAATAGCTATTTAATTATTTGGCTGGTCTTCTCTCATGTTTATAATATGGTTATTAATAACAATAGGAGCCATGAGTTTCCCTGTACATGTGTGGTGCACACAGCAAGCCTGGATCCTACTGAATATTTTATTTATTTCAAAAGAGGAAGTTCTTTTCCCTGCTCAGAAACTCCAGCATCTCTTATTTACTCATTTATCTGACTTGGCTTAACCCTGTCATCCTCAAACCAATCTGTAGAAAGATGTGAAGAGAGAGAGAAGTTATGAGGTTTGGACTCATCAACTGAAATAGAAGAAATAATTGGAAAGAAAAGCACAAGGCAATCACATGAGTTTGGAGATAACAGAAAGGCATATCAAATTTAGTCTTGAGGGATATCAGAAGACTTCTCAGAATGTGGGACTGCAGATAATAAGTGAAAAGCATGAGTCAGCTAGTCGCAAAGTGGGATGGGGTCACAAACTGCTTGCACCAGAAGAATAAGATTTAACAATAATTTATAAAGCATTTTGGAAGTAAAATAAAAAATATTTTGAATACACATAATTTTATTTAGCATGTAAAGTTCTCCTATCCATTTGAATAAAATAATTTTGAAATAGGGTGAATTCAGACAAGTAAAAATAATCTAAATAAGATGCATGCCACAACTCTTGGAGCATCAGCAGCAACAACAGCAGCAACAGCAGCAACAGCAACAACAGTGGCACAACACCAGATTTCTCATGAACACTGTTCTTCATGGAGAACTTGCAAACTTTTAAGTAACCTGAAGATATAAACCCAGGAAGCACGATTTTCTGAGGCATCCTCCGTATTTAGGACTCTCAGGAAATGAGGAATCTTGTTTTCAATAAAACAAGTTTAAAGTGATATGGATATAATATTCTAGTGAGAAAATTCTAGATGCCAAAACTGAGATTAATGTCTATAAAGATTAAGAGAATAGAATAAAGACTAGGAGGAGGGGAATAAACAGTCTCTGAGAAATATGGGACACCAAGTTAGAGTAGGTATTTAGACAGACATGAGCAGGGCAGGAGAGGGCCCCCAGAAATGGCAGGCAGTCATAGGGTGATGGTCAGATCATAAAACTGTCCCTCTGAAATGACAAGTGGTCACAACTGGCTCCAAGACGAAGAGGTAGAAAACAACTTCCTCAACAGGTAGCAAACATCTGGAGCCAGCAAACCTCAAGTCCCTGATAAGGTCTTAAGCATGCGCAGTAGGCGGCAAAATGGCAGAGTTTTAACTCGTACATAACCTTCCTCTGCGGGCGCTGGACCAGAAGGGAAAAATCGCCCCAAGTGAGCAAGTGCAGAACTTCACTGAACACACTGTGCATGCGGCCCCTCCCAAGTGCTGGCCGACCATTGCCATGTGGCAACTGAGCAACAGCCCGCCCCAAGGTCCAAGGGAGGGAGCAAGTGAAGAGAAGCAAACCCCCATAAGAAAGCCAATGTATAAAAATCCCAAGCGGCTAAGGACAGTGACTCATGCCTGTAGTCCCAGCATTGCGGGAGGCCAAGGCTGGTAGATCTCTTGAGCCCAGGAGTTTGAGACCAGGCAGGGCAACATGGCAAACCCCCAACCCCAACCCCCTTGCCCCGCCTCCCCTCGTCTGGCCCTGTCTCTACTAAAAATACAAAAAATTAACTGGGCCTGATGGGTCGTGCCTGTGGTCCCAGCTACCCGGGAGGCTGAGGTGGTAGTATGGGAGTATCGCTTGAGCATAGAAAATTGAGGCTGCAGTGAGCTGTGATGGCACCACTGCACTCCAGCCTGGGTGACAGAGCCAGACCCTGCGTCAAAACAAACAAACAAAAACATTCCAAGCTATAAGCGGTGCACTCTGAAGTCCCCCACTTGGGCCTCTTCCAATTATACTTCTTTCAATAACCCTTTGCCTCTGATTTTAAAACTTGCCTAGGTCTGTCGGTCAAAATCTTTCTTGTGAGAGGACAAGGAAGAAGCTCGCTGGGACTTGCCGCTGTTTCTCCACTTGCCACCAGTAACAACCATAATAAAAATATTAGGAAAAGAGAAGAGATAGAAAAAGGAAGAAAAATATCCAAAGGAATATTGGCAGAAACGTCACAAATTTGATTTTTAAAAACATTAAAGTACATATCCTAGAAGCTCAACAAATTCTAGGTAGGATAGAGTGAAAGAGACCCACATGGGGAGACATCATATTCAGTTAGTGAAGCTATAAAGACAAACATAAAATCTTGAAAGCGGGAAAAACAAACAGTAAAAAACGTATCATGTACAAGGGGAACTCGATAAGATCATCAAAAACAATGGAGAGCAGAAAGTAGTGGGACAACATGTTCAAAGGGCTGAAAGTTAAAAATAATCAACTAATAATTTTACATTGAGCAATATAATTTTTCAAAAATGAAGCAAAGCGTTATGGTTTCAGCTCCATATAAAGCCATTTCTATCATCCTTGCAAGGATACAAAAGCAGAATAAACTAACTCATCAAATAAATGAGGTAGGGCAAGCCACCCTCAGGAAATCTGGAGTGACAGGAAAATAGATATAATCACAACAAAGTTATTCTTACCTTGAGCAGAAGCTACTGGAGCCATGAAATAATAAAAGCATTTAAATGGTAATTTTCTAAAAAATTGCTGAAAGCTGAATGCAGACTAGCATAAGAATTACCATCTCTTTAGGACCACAGTAGTCGAGGTCTCCACACTTTTTATGCAGTGTATATCCCGAAAACACCATAGTTTCTCACAGCAAAGAGCCAAACAAGGTCCACTCATGGCTGTATCAGGGAAAGGTAAAAATATCCATTTTGAAATATGTCCATGATATTCTCTGCAATAAAGTCTCAGTACCCAGAATAAAAGAATTTTCCAGAGTCTTATCTTAGAGTGAAAGGATATGTACCCAGCTTCAGTTCCCTCTAGCTTTCCTATATCACCTAAGAGGCAAGGGAAAAGATGCTTATGATGTGTGTTGCCAAGACACATGCCCACCAAAAGACTGAGATTTAATTAAAGGCTATAGGATTAATCTCCTCTCTAAATCTTAGCACCGTATCATCGGGGATCCAGTATTATAACGGTGGATTATAGCTAGAAGGACTGAGAGGTCCTGAATCTGATTAAGAAGGAGGTAAAATTAAAAACACCAAACAAATTTGAAGCAATTGATACCTACAGCTACAGAAATCATTAAACATAGCTCAACCGCAGCCAGATTAAAATGTAAAGGCCTTCATCTGTGTTCTTGTTACCCTGTAGATTACACCAGGTTTTCAACCAAAAATTTAAGACGATGAAAAGACAAGAAGAAATACAGTATAAAGAGACAAAGTGAATATCAATGTCACATTTAGAAATGATACAGATGTTGAAATAGCCTGTGGATAATATATGAAAGGCCGTAAGGGAAATTAGGAAACATGTAAGAGCAGATGGGTAACGTGAACAAAGATCTGAAAAGTTTAAGAAAGTTCCAAAAGAAAGACTTCAAATTATACTACAAGTTTATAGTAACCCAAATAACATGGGTTTATAGTAACCCAAATAACATGAGCCAAGATCACACCACTGGACTCCGGCCTGGGGACAGAGTAAGACTCTGCCTCAAAATAATAATAATAATAATAATAATAATAATAATAAGATGTAAAAATAAGTATTCTTGATGAAAAATGCGATGAAAATCGAGCCCTGTTTATAATAAAGACCATAATGCTTAACATTTTGTGAGTTATTGCTGTTTACCAATGACTCAAATTAGCATTTTAAACATGTTACTATATTAAATACTGCATTGGTATGATATCAGTTTACCAGTAAGAAGATGCCACCTTGGTATCATACCAGTGTATCAATAAGAAGCCTCAACAATGTAATGGTAAAAAATAAAAATATAAAAAAACTAGTCAAATTTTTCACAAAACTAGTAAGTGAATGGTAGGCCACAATTCCTACTGGTATTTGAAACCTGCACCCTGAACCGCTGTGCTCTTCTGCCTCTATCTTTGGAACAGTACTAAGAGAAGACACCTTGATTAAACTTACCAAAAAACAAAAAGAATAATAAAGTAACAGTGAGTGACTTTAAGCAATATTAGCTGGGGAGAGGCAAGTCTCTGTGCAAGTCGATATAGAAAATGACAGGAAAAAGTGTGTTCTCCTAAATAGGTGTTTTCTGTTTCTTTCCCCACATGATAGGCACATTCTGGTCTAGCTGCCCTTATTGATATAGGAGCAAGACTTCTCATCTACCTTTGTATTCCCTAACTTTTTTTTTCCTTCCACTCTTAGTTAACCCTGAGAGTCATCAAAGTGGTTCCATGCATGTGACATTCAACAAGTCTCTCAAGTATATTGAAGATAGTGTCAATTCTATCTTTTAAAAATTACTTCTGTTTGCCAGTTGCCTACATTTGCTGGCTATAAAACCACTTGAGGAGCAATAACTGCTGATTGTGAGAGTGGCTCTGATCGTATCCGAATGAGATCTCTAGATGCTCCAAAATTTTGAAAACCCTGGGAACCAGAAAGAAGAGAATTCCTTCCACTTCCATCCCACTGAGCCATATATTGAAAGTTGAGTTCCTCAACAATTTTTCTGCCGAAATCTTCAACATCCATATTGATCAATTTAATCTGCTTTGCCGCAAGGCTCACTTCAACATATAAATCTAAAAAAAACTTTAAGCTCTAAATTCTGATTCCTTTTATCTAAGGTTCTTCTTCACTACAATTATTTTTCTCATCTTATTTAGAGCAAGCTAGGTAACAAGCAAAGTGATAACATGAACGAAGACACGAACATATTGGTATTTGTTAGTGGAAAAGAGACGATGTTCGTGCTGGCAAAAGGAAGCCAACAATAAATATATTTTGGTATAAGAATAAAATATCATGAGTGTATATACATGAAGCCATTATTCTAAACTAGTCTTATGATAGTTAACAAAATTAATAAGAGAGAATCTGGTTATAGAATATTGAAGATGCAATTATTAGGCAGTAAAATCTTGACCTGTTTTATTCTGGAAATATTTCATGCTATAAACCAGTAAGTTGCCCTGTAATTCTTAGTTTTGCATGTGCTCATTAACTATTCTGGCATTAAAGCTATTCCAATGTTTTACTCTAGGAGTTTTATGGTTTCAGGACTTACGTTTAGGTCCTGATTCTATTTTGAGTTTATTGTGTGTATGGTGCAAAGCCGAGGCCCAATTTTCTTTCTTCCTTTCCTTTCCTTCCCTTTCCTTCCTTTCCTTTCCTTTCCTTTTCCCTCTCCTCCCCTCCCCTCCCCTCCCCTTCCCTTCCCTTCCCTCTTTTCTCTCTTTCTCCTTCCTTCCTTCCTTCCTTTCCATGCGGATATTCTTTTTTTTAAACACATGAAGAAGAAATTAACCTTTCCCCATTGTCACCCTTTTTGGAGATCTGCTCACCATAGATGTGTAGATTTGTTTCTGGGGTCTATATTTTGTTTCAGTGACCTATATGTCTGTCTTTATGTTAGTACCATACTGTTTTAAACCAGTAATCTTTTGATTACTATAGCTTTGCAGTATATTTTAAAATCAAGAATGCTGTGCCTCAAGCTTTGTTCTCTTTCAAGATTGCTTTAACTATTCTATGTCTTTTGGGATGCCATATAAATGTTAAGATTTTTTTTTATCTGTAAAACAAAATCCATTGGGATTTTAAAGGGGATAGCTTAGATTGTTTTAGTTGAAATAGTCACTTGAAAAATGCTAAGTGTTTTAATTTATGAACCTAGGATATCTTTCCATGTGTCTTTAATTTCTTTCATCAATGTTTTGTAGTTTTAAGTGTACAATTTTTTTTACCTTATTGGTTAAGTTTATTCCTAAATATTTCAGGGTTTTATTGATGCTCTTGTAATGGGATTGTTTTCTAAATTTTATTTTTAGATGGGCGTTTTTAGTGTATAGAATCATATTGGCAATTACTTATTGGATATGACACCAAAAGCACAGGCAACAAAAGCAAAAGTAGATAAGTGGGACTCATCAAACTAAAAAGCTTCTGAACAGCAAAGGAAACAATTAACAAAATGAAAAGTCAATCTGTGGAGTGGAAGAAAATATTTGCAAGCCATATGTTCGATAAGGGGTTAATTTTCAAAATACATAAGAAACTCCTACAATTTCAGAAAAAAAGAAAAAAAACTACAACAGAAAATTCAATAGCGATTGCCAGGTGCTGAGGGCTGGAGGCAATGAAGGGTTTTTCAATGGATGTAAACTTTCAGTTATACTAGATGAATAAGTTCTATAGATTTATTGTACACAATAGTTCTTAAATTTAACAATACAATATGCTGTGTTTAAAAATGGAATAAGTGGGTACATATTTTGTAAGTTTTCTGATCACAAATAATGGTGGGAAAGAGACCTGAGGAAACTTTGAAAGGTCTATTATGGCTTTGCTGGGGTTTGACTTGCTTATTTATCCTGTGCTGGAACCACTCTTGGGATGATTGGGATGGCTGCAGCCTGTCTTTGCATAATTTCTTCTCCGGCAGCAAGTCAGCCTGGGCTTGTGAACACAGTTGCAGAGGATTTCCATACAAAAGCCAGAGAGAGGAGAAGTTCCAATAAACCAACATTTTGGAAGTTTTTGCTTGCATTTTATTTGTAAATACTCCTTTGGCCAGTGCAAGTCACACAGCAAAGAACAAATTCAGAAGTTAGAGAAATAGATTCTAACTCCACATGAAAGGAACAGCAATGCTGCAAGGGACAGGAAGAAATATTTGGCCATTTGTAAAAAAACAATCTTTCATGGTGCTCCATTGATAAAATCCCTTGTCACTTTGGATTTCAATTTGAAAATATCTTCTCATTCTAAAAAGTCACAATCCTACACAAAACCATGGACCCTAAATAGAGGATTCTGGGTGCAACAAGTATTCAACCCAATGTGAGTTTTCAGAATTCTGTATTGATAGCTTTTTGTTGTTGTTGTTCTCTAAACATGCTGATTTGTTTCCCCATATTTCTGGATCAGCAGAAGAGGATAGATGCTCATATTGTTTATTTACAGGTATAATATCTTAATTATTCATCACAATATTTCCTAAGATAAGACTATATTTTCCAAAATGTATTTAGCAAAGTGAATGGTTACATTATTGTGGTTGCATAAGTATGTGGATTACTGAGTTAAAATTATGTAGGCTTCTTTATTGTAGAAATGCTTAAGAGATTTTGATATGCTGATGAGCATTATACTTTTCCAATGAGGAAATATAATATGCATTGTTTTCTAAACATGATTTCCATTTTGCAGATGAAGAAAATAAGGGCTAATAACTATTATTTGAAAAAGACTTTTGTTTTAGGGATGCAAGCAAAGGAAGCAGGGTGCCTTAGACACTGAGATAATGTTTTCTGTATGTTCTGTTGTGCCTAGTACACTATAAATGCTCAGTAAATATTAATGATGGGAGGCAGTGAGTCTTGATGATAAGGGTGAGAAACTGAAATCCCAAAAACTGTTTTGTTGCTTGTTTTATTATGACCTCAGATTAAATTGGGAAATATTGGCCCTTTTGAATAATTGTCCCAAATATTACATTCAAATAAAAGTGCAATGGAGAAAAAAAAGAAAAAGAAAAAGACTTTTGTTCTAGGCATTTGCATGTTCACAAACTAATTCAATGTTTACAATTGAAACAGGTGTTATTATAGTGATTAGAAAACTGATGAAATGAAAGATAAGAAAAGCTAGTTAACCAGCATGACACATGTATACATATGTAACAAACCTGCACGTTGTGCACATGTACCCTAGAACTTAAAGTGTAATAAAAAATTAAATTAAATTTTAAAAAAAGAAAATGATAGATTTGGGTAAAAAAAATATGGTCTGACTCAGAACACAACTGAATCAAAGTATCTTGATTTCAGATGATGCTTCATCTAACTCCCATCTCTAGCAGCCAAGGGGGACTTTGTTTGCTTCTCCCAAGTCTATAATTCTGTTCTGGCCCCAAGTAGGGCACTCATAGTGTGCATACTCATGTGATGCTTTCTTGCCAGGATGACTTGGAAGCATCCCATCAAGCATATACTCTTCCCTCCAAGTCCAATTCCCAACATTGCTCTCTAAGAACACTCTACACAGCTAGGCAGCAAGGCTTCATATTAATCATGTTTTCTAATTATTTATTTATTAGGACAAGGGAGCTGAACACCTGGCAACATTTACATTTGCAATTAGGGAGGCAGCCTCACTTTAGAAGAAGTCTGATTTTATTACGTGCCTTTTCTTTGTAACAGCAAGTTGGCTCGGTGGTGGAAAAAGTTATATTGACATAAACATAATTCATAAATTATGAAATACTGGGAATAGCCTTTTTCTTCTCTGAAATTGGTATATTTTGGACAAATTTTATACTTGAAAGTTATGAGGCAATTATTAGTGAGAAATAAACAGTATACTATTATATTAATCCCATTCTTTCACGAATAAATACATTTTAGTTGATCACCTACTGTATCCAAGTGACTATGACTGGCACTGTGACATAATATTCAGATTATGTTAGGATTGGGCCCTGTGTAAATATTAAGACTTGTATATCTGTATTCTTTAAAACAAACATGTAATAAACTACCTTCCAAAGGAGTGGGTTATATGTAATCAATTTCTGAGCCTAACTAAACACTCAGAGACTCCATGTTCTTACTATAAAATAGAGCTAGTGACTACATCATAGGTGTTTTTGAGGCTTAAAATCTAATTCATATGTGAGTCATACCCAAAATCAGTCAGCTGCTTGCCCTCTACTAGTGCATGGTAATCATGCAGATGAAAAGAGATAACCCATGGCCACAGGCTTTGATGTGAGAGGGGAAGACAAGCTACAATTAAAATTTGCAAAAATGTAAAGTATAAACTGATTAATATAATGAAAGCATGAAGTATCTATGAGTAAAAGGTAATTTTGGATATGGACATAGGAGTGAACATAGTCAAGTTTTCTAAATATACAGTATTTAGGAAAATAACGGAGATAGGATTAGAAATTTAGATAATGAATGGCTTTAAAATGAGCCTTAGGTGGCTGAAATTTATACTGTAGCCAAAATTATTCTATCAAGAGCCAAGACTCATGCTTTACCAGATTTAATTTAGCCATTGTGTACCTTGTGGGAAGGCCATTGAGATGAGACGAGAAAGCCAATTGGAACGTTGTATGAATGTAATTTCTTAGATAATGCCAGGTCCTCCAACTTCCTGGATTCACTCTAAAACACAAACTCCCCAAAACAGCATTTCTTTCCTTTGGAAGAAAATTTTAGGCTTCTTAGAACCAGCAGTTCTCACTCCATCAGATGTTAAAATTAGAATATTTCTGTCCTGCTGGAAGGACTTCAGGGTAGAGATAATAAGAATCCAAACAAGGACAATGAAAATAAAATTAAAAAAAAAAAGCATATGAAGACCCCATCTCCCATACAAGCTCTAGATACAGCCCTGTGTACAATTTAAGACTTGTACATCTGAAATCCTTAAAACAAACATCTGGTAAACTACCTTCCAAAGGAACAAATAACACTTAGGCTTATTTCTGAAACTACTCACAAATATATTGAATAGAGGGCACATTGAAACAAAAAAGGACAATGACAAATCAGCTGTGTTACTTTGGACAAACTGATTTACCCTTCATTTCTATGAGGAAAAATGTTAACCTATGGACATTATATATCAATAAATATATGAGGTCATGAACATTATATTAGACATACAATACATTTTCTATAAAATTATGTTCTTATGAAATAATATTGAATCTATGATTATATTAAATATATTTTATGGACCTCTGTTGACCAGAAAAATTTCAATAAAGTTTTTTCCACCATATAAAGAAAAAAAATCAATGAAATAATGACATGGAAATACTACATATTTATTAATCCATGTTATGCCCGAAAAATAAAAGACATAAGTCCTACCTGTAGTGAATGGAAAATAAGCAAATTTATTTTTACAGCTCAAGATTTTAATAAAGATGCACTTAAGAGAGATACCAGACAGCTGAGTTGTTCACTTGGTGGGGATCCAATTGCCCTACATGGGAAGTGCTAGCTACCTGCATGGAGAGCAGATGTTACCACTTCTACTTAATGTGGTAGCAGGAAGTTGGTAAAGATAAAAAGTCTATGCTATCTCTAATGATGTAATTTCTATGGTTTAGTAGCTTCTCAAATCTGTATACCTGGAGGAGACAAGAACACTTACTCATTACTTTCTTTGCTGTATCCACATACCACACCAACTTTAGTAGACTCTGAGTATTCATTTGCATCAATACGTGAATGCCAGCAAAATATCCTCCTCCTTTAAGGCACTGACTGAATTTCTGTAGACCTGACCTTCTTTTGGCGAGGTTATTCTACCCAAAGACAACACACCTGAAAACCTTCCCCTATGCTGCATGGCTTCTATATGGACAAGTTCTATGACTGCCTTTAACTTTATCTAGAATAATAGATAGTACCTCTGTATTATCTAATTTTAACCTCTATTATGATCTCTAAGAACATTACTTCCTCTTTTACAATGATTGGAAAGACTCTCAGTTCTAAAATCCCTCCTAATAAAGTCAGACTGGTTATACATCAGCTTTATTATTTCCAAACTATCTTATCATGATAACAATAATAAAAGTAATAATAATGATTGTTATCATTTCTCAAACACTTTATTTGTGCTAGGACATGTACTAAGTATTTTACCTATATGATCTGCTGTAATGGTAACTGTTATTGTCTAAATTTAAAGGTGAGGAAACTGAAGAAAAAAGTAATCTGGTAAATACATCACATCCAGAAGGAGACTAGATTGCCTCTAAAAGAGTAAAGACACAGAAGTGTTTCCAAGCAATACATAAGCTCTCTCTCAGGAAGTAGCAAGCCTCAACCCTGAAACCAGATTGCCTGTGTTTAAATTCTGGCTTCAAAAATAGAACCTCTCTAATACGTACCTGTCATACTTTTAAAAAATTTATAAGAGTTCCTACCTCATAGGGCACACCTTCGAGGATGAAATAAGGAACATATGTAAAGTACTGAGAATAAGTAGTAAGGGATAAGTACATTGGTTATTATTAATAATAATATCATAATTAGGAATCATAGCTAAGGTTCTTCTTTGATTTCATAAGTTAATAATATCGAAGAAGCAATAAGCTGTGAAGCATGAGGCTTTCTTTTTTTTTATTATACTTTAAGTTTTAGGGTACATGTGCACATTGTGCAGGTTAGTTACATATGTATACATGTGCCATGCTGGTGTGCTGCACCCACTAACTCGTCATCTAGCATTAGGTATATCTCCCGATGCTATCCCTCCCCCCTCCCCACACCCCACAACAGTCTCCAGAGTGTGATATTCCCCTTCCTGTGTCCATGTGATCTCATTGTTCAATTCCCACCTATGAGTGAGAATATGCGGTGTTTGGTTTTTTGTTCTTCCGATAGTTTACTGAGAATGATGATTTCCAATTTCATCCATGTCCCTACAAAGGACATGAACTCATCATTTTTTATGGCTGCATAGTATTCCATGGTGTATATGTGCCACATTTTCTTAATCCAGTCTATCATTGTTGGGCATTTGGGTTGGTTCCAAGTCTTTGCTATTGTGAATAATGCCGCAATAAACATACGTGTGCATGTGTCTTTATAGCAGCATGATTTATAGTCCTTTGGGTATATACCCAGTAATGGGATGGCTGGGTCAAATGGTATTTCCAGTTCTAGATCCCTGAGGAATCGCCACACTGACTTCCACAATGGTTGAACTAGTTTCCAGTCCCACCAACAGTGTAAAAGTGTTCCTATTTCTCTACATCCTCTCCAGCACCTGTTGTTTCCTGACTTTTTAATGATTGCCATTCTAACTGGTGTGAGATGGTATCTCATTGAGGTTTTGATTTGCATTTCTCTGATGGCCAGTGATGATGAGCATTTTTTCATGTGTTTTTTGGCTGCATAAATGTCTTCTTTTGAGAAGTGTCTGTTCATGTCCTTCACCCACTTTTTGATGGGGTTGTTTGCTTTTTTCTTGTAAATTTGTTTGAGTTCATTGTAGATTCTGGATATTAGCCCTTTGTCAGATGAGTAGGTGGCGAAAATTTTCTCCCATTTTGTAGGTTGCCTGTTCACTCTGATGGTAGTTTCTTTTGCTGTGCAGAAGCTCTTTAGTTGAATTAGATCCCATTTGTCAATTTTGGCTTTTGTTGCCATTGCTTTTGGTGTTTTAGACATGAAGTCCTTGCCCATGCCTATGTCCTGAATGGTAATGCCTAGGTTTTCTTCTAGGGTTTTTATGGTTTTAGGTCTAACATTTAAGTCTTTAATCCATCTTGAATTAATTTTTGTATAAGGTGCAAGGAAGGGATCCAGTTTCAGCTTTCTACATATGGCTAGCCAGTTTTCCCAGCACCATTTATTAAATAGGGAATCCTTTCCCCATTGCTTGTTTTTGTCAGGTTTGTCAAAGATCAGATAGTTGTAGATATGCGGCGTTATTTCTGAGGGCTCTGTTCTGTTCCATTGATCTATATCTCTGTTTTGGTACCAGTACCATGCCGTTTTGCTTACTGTAGCCTTGTAGTATAGTTTGAAGTCAGGTAGTGTGATGCCTCCAGCTTTGTTCTTTTGGCTTAGGATTGACTTGGCGATGCGGGCTCTTTTTTGGTTCCATATGAACTTTAAAGTAGTTTTTTCCAATTCTGTGAAGAAAGTCATTGGTAGCTTTATGGGGATGGCATTGAATCTGTAAATTACCTTGGGCAGTATGGCCATTTTCACGATATTGATTCTTCCTACCCATGAGCATGGAATTTTCTTCCATTTGTTTGTATCCTCTTTTATTTCCTTGAGCAGTGGTTTGTAGTTCTCCTTGAAGAGGTCCTTCACATCCCTTGTAATTTGGATTCCTAGGTATTTTATTCTCTTTGAAGCAATTGTGAATGGAAGTTCACTCATGATTTGGCTCTCTGTTTGTCTGTTGTTGGTGTATAAGAATGCTTGTGATTTTTGTACATTGATTTTGTATCCTGAGACTTTGCTGAAGTTGCTTATCAGCTTAAGGAGATTTTGGGCTGAGACAATGGGGTTTTCTAGATATACAATCATGTCGTCTGCAAACAGGGACAATTTGACTTCCTCTTTTCCTAATTGAATACCCTTTATTTCCTTCTCCTGCCTAATTGCCCTGGCCAGAACTTCCAACACTATGTTAAATAGGAGTGGTGAGAGAGGGCATCCCTGTCTTGTGCCAGATTTCAAAGAGAATGCTTCCAGTTTTTGCCCATTCAGTATGATATTGGCTGTGGGTTTGTCATAGATAGCTCTTATTATTTTGAAATACGTCCCATCAATACCTAATTTATTGAGAGTTTTTAGCATGAAGGGTTGTTGAATTTTGTCAAAGGCTTTTTCTGCATCTATTGAGATAATCATATGGTTTTTGTCTTTGGCTCTGTTTATATGCTGGATTACATTTATTGATTTGCGTATATTGAACCAGCCTTGCATCCCAGGGATGAAGCCCACTTGATCATGGTGGATAAGCTTTTTGATGTGCTGCTGGATTCGTTTTGCCAGTATTTTATTGAGGATTTTTGCATCAATGTTCATCAAGGATATTGGTCTAAAATTCTCTTTTTTGGTTGTATCTCTGCCCGGCTTTGGTATCAGGATGATGCTGGCCTCATAAAATGAGTTAGGGAGGACTCCCTCTTTTTCTATTGATTGGAATAGTTTTAGAAGGAATGGTCCCAGTTCCTCCTTGTACCTCTGGTAGAATTCGGCTGCGAATCCATCTGGTCCTGGACTCTTTTTGGTTGGTAAGCTATTGATTATTGCCACAATTTCAGCTCCTGTTATTGGTCTATTCAGAGATTCAACTTCTTCCTGGTTTAGTCTTGGGAGAGTGTATGTGTTGAGGAATTTATCCATTTCTTCTAGATTTTCTAGTTTATTTGCATAGATGTGTTTGTAGTATTCTCTGATGGTAGTTTGTATTTCTGTGGGATCGGTGGTGATATCCCCTTTATCATTTTTTATTGCATCTATTTGATTCATCTCTCTTTTTTTCTTTATTAGTCTTGCTAGCGGTCTATCAATTTTGTTGATCCTTTCAGAAAACCAGCTCCTGGATTCATTAATTTTTTGAAGGGTTTTTTGTGTCTCTATTTCCTTCAGTTCTGCTCTGATTTTAGTTATTTCTTGCCTTCTGCTAGCTTTAGAATGTGTTTGCTCTTGCTTTTCTAGTTCTTTTAATTGTGATGTTAGGGTGTCAATTTTGGATCTTTCCTGCTTTCTCTTGTGGGCATTTAGTGCTATAAATTTCCCTCTACACACTGCTTTGAATGAGTCCCAGAGATTCTGGTATGTTGTGTCTTTGTTCTCGTTGGTTTCAAAGAACATCTTTATTTCTGCCTTCATTTCGTTATGTACCCCGTAGTCATTCAGGAGCAGGTTGTTCAGTTTCCATGTAGTTGAGTGGTTTTGAGTGAGATTGTTAATCCTGAGTTCTAGTTTGATTGCACTGTGGTCTGAGAGATAGTTTGTTATAATTTCTGTTCTTTTACATTTGCTGAGGAGAGCTTTACTTCCAAGTATGTGGTCAATTTTGGAATAGGTGTGGTGTGGTGCTGAAAAAAATGTATATTCTGTTGATTTGGGGTGGAGAGTTCTGTAGATGTCTATTAGGTCTGCTTGGTGCAGAGCTGAGTTCAATTCCTGGGTATCCTTGTTGACTTTCTGTCTCATTGATCTGTCTAATGTTGACAGTGGGGTGTTAAAGTCTCCCATTATTAATGTGTGGGAGTCTAAGTCTCTTTGTAGGTCACTCAGGACTTGCTTTATGAATCTTGGTGCTCCTGTATTGGGTGCATATATATTTAGGATAGTTAGCTCTTCTTGTTGAATTGATCCCTTTACCATTATGTAATGGCCTTCTTTGTCTCTTTTGATCTTTGTTGGTTTAAAGTCTGTTTTATCAGAGACTAGGATTGCAACCCCTGCCTTTTTTTGTTTTCCATTTACTTGGTAGATCTTCCTCCATCCTTTTATTTTGAGCCTATGTGTGTCTCTGCACGTGAGATGGGTTTCCTGAATACAGCACACTGATGGGTCTTGACTCTTTATCCAATTTGCCAGTCTCTGTCTTTTAATTGGAGCATTTAGTCCATTGACATTTAAAGTTAATATTGTTATGTGTGAATTTGATCCTGTCATTATGATGCTAGCTGGTTATTTTGCTCGTTAGTTGATGCAGTTTCTTCCTAGTCTGGATGATCTTTACATTTTGGCATGATTTTGCAGCAGCTGGTACCGGTTGTTCCTTTCCATGTTTAGTGCTTCCTTCAGGAGCTCTTGTAAGGCAGGCCTGGTGGTGACAAAATCTCTCAGCATTTGCTTGTCTGTAAAGTATTTTATTTCTCCTTCACTTGTGAAGCTTAGTTTGGCTGGATATGAAATTCTGGGTTGAAAATTCTTTTCTTTAAGAATGTTGAATATTGGCCCCCACTCTCTTCTGGCTTGTAGGGTTTCTGCCAAGAGATCCACTGTTAGTCTGATGGGCTTCCCTTTGAGGGTAACCCGACCTTCCTCTCTGGCTGCCCTTAACATTTTTTCCTTCATTTCAACTTTGGTGAATCTGACAATTATGTGTCTTGGAGTTGCTCTTCTCAAGGAGTATCTTTGTGGCGTTCTCTGTATTTCCTGAATCTGAACGTTGGCCTGCCTTGCTAGATTGGGGACGTTCTCCTGGATAATATCCTGCAGAGTGTTTTCCAACTTGGTTCCATTCTCCCCATCACTTTCAGGTACACCAATCAGACGTAGATTTGGTCTTTTCACATAGTCCCATATTTCTTGGAGGCTTTGCTCATTTCTTTTTATTCTTTTTTCTCTAACCTTCCCTTCTCGCTTCATTTCATTCATTTCATCTTCCGTTGCTGATACCCTTTCTTCCAGTTGATCGCATCGGCTCCTGAGGCTTCTGCATTCTTCACGTAGTTCTCGAGCCTTGGTTTTCAGCTCCATCAGCTCCTTTAAGCACTTCTCTGTATTGGTTATTCTAGTTATACATTCTTCTAAATTTTTTTCAAAGTTTTCAACTTCTTTGCCTTTGGTTTCAATGTCCTCCCGTAGCTCAGAGTAATTTGATCGTCTGAAGCCTTCTTCTCTCAGCTCGTCAAAGTCATTCTCCATCCAGTTTTGTTCCGTTGCTGGTGAGGAACTGCGTTCCTTTGGAGGAGGAGAGGTGCTCTGCTTTTTAGAGTTTCCAGTTTTTCTATTCTGTTTTTTCCCCATCTTTGTGGTTTTATCTACTTTTGGTCTTTGATGATGGTGATGTACAGATGGGTTTTTGGTGTGGATGTCCTTTCTGTTTGTTAGTTTTCCTTCTAACAGAGAGGACCCTCAGCTGCAGGTCTGTTGGAATACCCTGCCGTGTGAGGTGTCAGTGTGCCCCTGCTGGGGGGTGCCTCCCAGTTACGCTGCTCGGGGCTCAGGGGTCAGGGACCCACTTGAGGAGGCAGTCTGCCCGTTCTCAGATCTCCAGCTGTGTGCTGGGAGAACCACTGCTCTCTTCAAAGCTGTCAGACAGGGATATTTAAGTCTGCAGAGGTTACTGCTGTCTTTTTGTTTGTCTGTGCCCTGCCCCCAGAGGTGGAGCCTACAGAGGCAGGCAGGCTTCCTTGAGCTGTGGTGGGCTCCACCCAGTTGGAGCTTCCCGGCTGCTTTGTTTACCTAATCAAGCCTGGGCAATGGCGGGCGCCCCTCCCCCAGCCTCGCAGCCTCCTTGCAGTTTGATCTCAGACTGCTGTGCTAGCAACCAGCGAGACTCTGTGGGCGTAGGACCCTGCGAGCCAGGTGCCGGATATAATCTCCTGGTGCGCCGTTTTTTAAGCCCGTTGGAAAAGCGCAGTATTCGGGTGGGAGTAACCCGATTTTCCAGGTGCCGTCCGTCACCCCTTTCTTTGACTCAGAAAGGGAACTCCCTGACCCGTGGCGCTTCCCAAGTGAGGCAATGCCTCGCCCTGCTTCTGCTCGCGCACGGTGCACTCACCCACTGACCTGCGCCCACTGTCTGGCACTCCCTAGTGAGATGAACCCGGTACCTCAGATGGAAATGCAGAAATCACCCGTCTTCTGCGTCGCTCACGCTGGGAGCTGTAGACCGGAGCTGTTCCTATTTGGCCATCTTGGCTCCTCTGAGGCTTTCTTTTACTTCTTAGCTTAAGCTGTATGCTAGAGAGAAACAATTTTTCTTTCTTTCTTCCTTTTTTTTTGAGATTGAGTCTTGCTCTGTCGCCCAGGCTGGAGTCCAGTGGCACGGTCTCTGCTCACTGCAACCTCCGCCTCCTGGGTTCATGACATTCTCCTGCCTCAGCCTCCTGAGTAGCTGGGAGTACAGGCACCTGCCACCACGCCCAGCTAATTTTTTTTTATATTTTTAGTAGAGATGAGGTTTCACCATGTTAGCCAGGATGGTCTCGATCTTCTGACCTTGTGATCCACCTGCCTTGGCCTCCCAAAGTGCTGGGATTACAGACTTGAGCCACCGCGCCCAGCCAAGTGAAACAATTTTTCATACAGTAGTCCCCCCTTATCTGCAGTTTTGCTTTGAGCAGTATCAGTTACCTGCATTCAACCATAGACCGAAAATGTTAAACTGAAATTTCAAAATAAATAATTTATGTTTTACATTGCATACCACGTACTATGTACATGTGCATAAATACCTGTATGCACACCATGATTTTACCTTTGGTTAAGCTAAGATAATCTCTTATTATCATTAAATCATGGCTTAAGCAGCTTCACTTTGACACTGGTTTAAATGAGGATAATTAATTCTAGCTGCCACTTATCTCAGTTGCTTAACACAGTGTGATTATTTCTCATTCAAAGTCCATGAAGTTACAAGGGAGGTGGGGAAACATAGTTTCACATAGTTTTTTGGTGGGCAGTAACTTTTCTCTGCCACAGCTGTCATCTTCCCTACTTAGTTCTGAAACCTCCTCACCCTTTGTAAACCAAAAGAAAAGGTGTTGCACTTGCAAACTTTTTTGGAGGCAATTCACAAAGGAAATGAGATAAACCACCAATGAGTACATGAAAGGTATTTATTCTTGCACCTAATAAAATTATGTGGAGATGTATTTAAAATTATTGTCAATATCCAGTGGTTACTAGAATGCGGGAAAATAGTTTTCAGATATGGTTGGTGAGAATGCAAATGAATACATATTTTAGAAAAATAAATGGCTATATGAAACACAGTGTAAAGTTACAAATTTTGGAGTGAGCAAATCCAGTTTTAAACATTTCTCCTAAAGTAGTTATTAGATAAATACACCAGGATATGTGAGCATGCGTGTGTGAGAAAATGTTCACTCTAACAATGTTTAAAAAAAACCGAAAACCTAATTGATTAATTGAAAATTGATATTAATTATGGTGCATACATAAAATTTAACCGTTTTAAATAACTATGGAATTTTACAGATAGGTAGGTATGTAGGTAGATACAGATCTGTAGGTAGATAGACAGGTTAGATAGATACACAGATTGATACATAGATAGATAGATGATAGATATATCTGAGATATATTATTAACAAACGTGATTATAAAATGGCTTCCTCCAATCATTCAGCTTAACATTGGTTAAGAAAGTAGTGGATCAGCTACTATTTACTGATCATCTATTATACGCTAGGGACATATTTAGTCCGTATAGCAACTCTATAATATGAGTGTTAAAATCTACGATTTAGAGTTGAGGCAAAGAGTTCAATTCACAGAGCCTGAAAGTGGCAAATTTGGGATTTCAACCCAGCTCGGTCTGATTCCAAATCTGATGCTCTTTCTACTGAATCAGGCTGCTTCCACAGCAGTTGGAACTTGTCTGCATCTGTTCCATACTTGTTTGCATTTTCCCATTTTGAAGCAGCAGCCACCCCCTGTCCCACCATGCACAGCAACACTTTGATTTCCATTCTCATGGCTGAGGCAGATCTGCTCACCTCCCTGGCATTCGTGAGCAGCTCTGCAGAGTGCTGGAGCATCTGGCAACCCACCCAGCCAGAGTGACTGGGAAGCGCAGAAAATTCCTCCGAGAGCAGGCAACATCTGTTTGATAGGCAATGAAAAATAAACCCGTAATAAACTCATTTTAGGGGCAAAAAATGGCTTCTCAAAGTGCTGATTTTTCATTTTATGCAAGCATAGTAATGTCGGTCTACTTGACAAGCAGAAAAACAGCATGTCCAGAAGCAAATGATCACAGCCAGAGGGTGAGACTGCTCATACCAGGAGCAAGCACAGGCGATGGCAGATGAGGAAGCATTTAGAAAGATGATACAAGAAAGCCAGCACCACCTGTGGCTGGCTCTTGGCACAGAGATGTGACCCAGGTGGTTGGATAGGGTGCATACGTGTCAGGAATGAGTTTCAATTCAGCAGCAGTGACTTCCTCAGTATTTCTGACTGCCAAGTAAGTTGCTATTCATCCATTTAGCCATCAATGCATTCTTTCCTTTATTCATCCATTCATTGTTCCTATATTCCAATATTTATTACATGCGCTAATGAAAACATTGTTTTTATTACTTGATGATTTTCCTGGATGTTGTAGTTACTATTAGCTGGGTGTTTAATAGAAAGTTGGTGGTAAGAGATTTTCCATTAATTTATTGAATTTAAGTCTCATAAGATGAAATATAATGAAAAAGGAAAGAAAATAACTGAAGAGTAAAATCATCTTTGGTAATAATTACACTACATAGAAACTAGTCCACTCACTAAGTTGTGACTGCAGACTGAAAAAAATACAAAAAAAAAAAACAAACCTCCTTTTTTCTGTGTGTTTGGTTGAAGAGGGACTCTCTTATTGTTTTTCTCAGGCAAAGTCATTATCTATAACTGAGAGGACAGAACAGAACCTTGGCTAAAAGCTGTCCATCATTCTTTTATTATCCTGTATGTTTCAGATTTTACCTTTATGCTCTGATCTATCACATGTAACCTGTCTGAGTAGAAAGGTCTGGGTCAGAGACAAGAAAAGATGAGAGAGAAAGAGAAAAACGGAAACACAGAATCTCCCAGACATAATAGGTCATGATAGCAACAACCAGAACATGATTACAAGTCAATGATAAATCTATGAAGATAGAGGCATGATAGTGTTGTCCAACCAGCCCCCCACACTTTGTACTCTTGACGTTGAAGACTTAGCATAATTACTTTATAGAGGATGGAGTATTGTCCCTGTACTTTATATATGTGAGAACTGGCATTGATATAAAGACACATGCAATCATGTCATCCGTCCCTTTGTTCTTGCAGCATCAGGAAGGTACTATTTTGTACTGGAAAAGGTATGGCTTTTGGAGCTAGAGAAACTTGGGTTGCATGCTGCCCTCCACTGTTTGCTAGCTCTACATCCCTGCACAAGTTACATACTCAGCACTCGCATCTATAAAATAGATATAATAACATTTGCCTGATATGATTGTAGTAAGCATGAAGTGAGATGATATTTATGAAGTACCCAGAAGAGTGAATGATATGTACTAATCATTCCGTAAACAGTAGCTGTTATTCCTATAATGATGACTGTGATTATTTTCTCTGAGCCTGTGCCTTCATTAGTTCAATTTGAATAATGATACATAAGGTTGGAGTAAACAATGAATGATGTGCAGCATTTTATGCATTCTAAGTGATAACAGTGTTCATTCTAGCTTTGAAGATATAGAAATGAAAACATATGGCTTATCTAGATATGTTTACAAAATTGTATACATTACAAATAGCAATGAGCATTTAGATAAATTCTTGTGGCAAAAGAAATTCTCACATGAAGGCCCTGAGCTAGATTGAGACATGTTCAAAATGAAAGAGAATCCATATCCCCCAGATTGAAGTAAGGTTTAATAAATAGAGAAACAAATGGAAACAATTTATAAGTCCCAGGTTTAGATGTTCAGCAGTTTACATGTTCAGTGTAGGGCAGGTTACAATAAATTATCATGAAAATTAAGCCAATCCTACCAAAAAATGTTCATATCATTGATTTGCAGAGGTGCTATACCTCATCTCATGAATAATGCTTTTTTATTAGGATTGTGCTGATACTGTTTTTCCATGCAGAGGGATACTGCTAGGACCTTTCCTAGGCTAGTCTCACAGGCTGAGTGGCTCTCCCCTCTCATTTCTCCCAGTTCTACATTTTCACATCTTCATAAGCCAGCTAATCTCTTGCACACACTTTTCACTCCATAATTAGTCTGTAGGTCATCTCATCTGCTATTTTGTATTATCCTATAGTTACTTTCCAATAACACTTGCCTTACTTCTTGGTATTTCATTTTATTAAATCTATTTATCCATTGGATTGTGAGCTCTTTAAGAGATAAATACTGTTGCCTTACCTTTTTCATTTCTTCAGTGCATGTATTACCAGCTACTGTAATATTTTAATTTGGCTCATATGTTTTGTATCTACCTTTTGAAAATGTTTGCTTCATGTTAGCAGGGTGATTGTCTCTCTGTTCTCTGCCATGTTCCTAGAACCTAGAAGTTTTCTTGGCACATAGTAGGCACTAAATGTATATTTGTAGAATATATAAATGACGGAGTCATAGCTATAGAAACTGTCATAGTGCCTGGTTATGGTAGTTATTCAGAAAAGTTCTGTTGAATTCAACAACTGAAATAAACCGTGGTGGAATAATATTAGCTATTCTTTAGATCTATGCAGTTTGCACTGATATGCAATACTAGTTATCAGAGTAGTTATACAAATGGTTTTTTATACATTGTCATTATACATTATACAATGTGTTTTAAACATTGTCACAGTGAACATTTTCTCACACACGCATTATCACATATCCTGGTGTATTTATCTAATAACTACTTTAGGAGAAACGTTTAAAACTGGATTTGCTCACTCGAAAATTAGTAGTTATACTAGTTATACAAAGGCAAATCTCAGAGATGGTGAAAGGTGGTAAAGGAAGTTCACATAGAAAGGACAACTTGCTGCAAAGCCACAGGGGCACGGAAGAGAGAGGCCTGCCAGGGATGTGTAGCAAATCTTGCAAGGTGAAGATAGTTCTTAAAAAATTCAGAGGCAGTGAGAAAGTGCAAGCACTGCTGTGCTGTATTACCAAGTCTACGTTTGAGACTTCAATAACACAGCCATAGTAGTTTTCGATCAGTCAATTAGGAGACTTTGTTTATGCTCTGATCAGACGATTGGCTATGGTCTGTTCTTCTCTTCTTCGGTAAGCAAAATCAGCTTCTCTGAACTTACAAACACCATAATGAGGTGCAAAGAGGAACTAGGGAATATTGGATGGCAAATGACAGAAAGCAGAGCTTTGGAATGACCTTGAAAGGAACCACATGTGTTGTTGCTTTCTGGGTGCTTGGGGTCACCTAAACATCATCTGATAATGCTGTTTATTCCCAGCAAGGAATAAATAATTTTCTTATATTCATACAGTTCCTATGCCTCAAAGCCAAAAAGTCACAAATAAAGTCCCTCTTTGTAATTTCAATAAAGACTGATTAAAGATTATTAGAATCTTTAGTCTTGTGATGGTCTTAAAAAATAGGGTTTGGCAGCCAGGCATGGAGGCTCATGCCTGTAACCTCAGCATTTTGGGAGGCCAAGGCAGGCAGATTACCTGAGGTCAGCAGTTCGAGACCAACCTTGTCAATATGATGAAACCCCATCTCTACTAAAAATACAAAAAAATTAGCCAGGTGTGGTGGCAGGCGCCTGTAATCCCAGCTACTTGGGAGGCTGAGGCAGGAGAATCACTTGAACTTGGGAAGTGGAGTTTGCAGTGAGCCAAGATCGCGCCATTGCACTCCAGCCTGGGCAACAAAAGTGAGACTCCATCTCAAAAAAAAAAAAAAAAAAAAGGGTTTGGCAAATAAGATTTTCTAGAGAAAATGAGTCTGAAATACTTGCTATTACTCTTCCCTAGTTGAGTAAAATAGATAATTATTATAAAATTTCCCAATTAAATTCAGTTCCACATACTCTTCCCTAGTTGAGTAAAATAGATAATTATTATAAAAATTCCCAATTAAATTCAGTTCCACATACTCTTCTGAACTATATTCTTTTATTTGCATATTATTGTGTAAGGTACATGAAGAGAAGGAATGGATATAGTTACATAAATAATTTTTATATTTATATAAGTATACATATATATTTACATAAATATTTATACATATATAATTATATATTGTGTATTATATATAAAGCTTTATGTAAACATTTTATATATAATTGATATATGTGATATAGCCATTCTGATAAGAATGTAACTTTTGCCCATTACAGAAACATGTATATATTGAATTAGGTTAATTAGAATATTATTATAACATGACTTTGGGGAAAAAAATATTAAAATAACAGTTCAAACATCTTTTATCAGAATAGTATTCAGTTCCCCTTCAAAACAATTCTGATTCCAACCACAAATACCGAGCAATATACCAATAAAATACCTAAGGACTCTGAGAAAAATACAAAAGCAGGCAGATTAGTTGATGATGGAGGGCAGGCAGCTGGAAAAGTGACTAGTAGGGTAGAAGTAAATGTAAAGTAAACCACGCTTACACATATCATAACAAAACTGCTGAAAACCAAACTATTAAGGGAAAAAGTATTGAAACAGCCAGAGAAAAGAAAGATATTTTATATAAGGAAACAATGATTTGTATACTATAGATTTCTCATCAAAAAACAATGGAGTAACAAATATGAAGGCTGGGCATGGTGGCTCATGCCTGTAATCCCAGCACTTTGGGAGGCCGAGGAGGGTGGATCACCTGAGGTCAGGAGTTTGAGAGCAGCCTGGCCAACATGATGAAACCATGTCTCTACTAAAAATATAAAAATTAGCCGGGCATGCTGACATGCGCCTGTAATCCCAGCTACTCAGGAGGCTGAGGCAGGAAAATCGCTTGAACCCAGGAGGCTGAGGTTGCAGTGAACTGAGATCATGCATTGCACTCCAGCCTGAGAGAGAGGGCAACTCTGTCTCAAAAAACATAAAATAAATAAAATAAAATAAAAATAAAGAATATGGGAGACAGTGCAACAAAATCGCTTTTGCTATTACTATTAATCTTTTTATTTTGAGGTAATTTTATCACATGTCAAATATAATACACAAAGATCCTAAGGAAGCCACGTTGCTGTTATCCACTTTTCACCAATGGCAACAGGTTGCAACTGTACAGTACAATACCACCACTAGCATATTGACACTGATAGAGTCAAGATACAGAATAGTTCCATCAGCACAAGGATGCTGTATGTGTCCTCTTCCAGCCACACCCACTTCCTCCTACCCTCCCTCCCCCATTTAACTCCAGCAACCATGAATCTTTTCTTTTATTCTGTATTTTTGTCATTTGTAGATGTTACATAAATGGAATCACAGAGTAGGTTTGAGATTTGGCCTTTTCCACTTAGCATAATTACTTGAGGTCATCCAGGCTGCTGAGTGTATCAATAGTGTTTGTATCTTTTTATCACTGACTAGTGTTCTGTGGTATGATCAGAGTTTATTTACTCATTCGCTTATTGAAGAACTTCAGTCATTTCCATGTCTATGCCATTATGAATAAAGCTGATAATGTATAAACATTCATATAAACACTTTGATGTGAGCATACTTGTTTATTTCTCTGGCATAAATGCCCATTAGTGCAATTGTTGGGTCACATGGTAGGTGCATATTAACTGTTAAAAAGAAACTTTCAAATACTTACCCAGAGTGGCTACATCATTTTACATTTCCACCAACAATATATGAATGGTCCAATTTCTCTTCATGTTCATTGGCATTTTGGGTTGCCACTTAAAAATATTTTTGTTTTCATTTTAGCTATTCTGGTAAGAATGTAGTGATAACTTTTGTGATTTTGATTTTCATGTCCCAAATAGCTGATGATACTAAAAATATTTTCATTTGATTATTTCCCTTCTATGCCTCCTCTTCAGTGAAATGAATTTTGATAACGTTTGCCCATTTTTTGAATTGAATTATTTATTTATTTTACTACTCCATTTGGAGAATTCTTTGTATATTCTAGACATTAGACCTTTACCAGATACGTGGTTTGCTAATATATTATCCAACTCTGTAGCATGTTTTGAAAGCAAATATTGAGTAGGTCTTCTCAATTTTTTTTAAATATGGGAAAACTGAGGCCTGGGGAGGTATAATATCTTCTCAACATACAAGATAAGGAAGTGACTGAGATGTGGTTTGAATTCAGTTTATTGTGCTATTCACCTCACAGTGCTTCCTTAACCAGAAGTCCTTTATTAAACAATAGATGCAGAGAATCTACTTTCCACCATAATTTTGAGTAAATCAAGAATATTGAGTATCAACTCCTGCTTGTTTTGATTAAATATATTCTTAATGGTTTCCACTGTTTTCAAAATATCTAAATCAAGAGATCCAATTAAACATTGTGCAAATAATTACTGATACTATCCAAACTATCCTGATGAAGAGAGTTATTTCTAAGCATTTTATATCAAAAGTAAGATGCATAACAGTGTACATTATACATTGTTATTTATGTAAATAAAATATACATGTATACACTGGACTGTGATTCTTTTTTGAAGGAGGATTGTCAAGAAACTTTTTAATGATGTTTGCTTTGGGTAAGAGAGAAACCTTCACTTCTATTCTGGTTCATGCTTTTTAAACTTTTAAATTTGTACTCATTGGCAGGAGGATCATTTGAACCCAGGAGTTCGAGATCAGCCTGGGCAACACAGGGAGACCCCGCCTCTACAAAAACAAAACAAAACAAAATAAATAAATAAATAAAAACTAGCTGAACATGGTGGTGTGTACCTGTGGTTTCATCTACTTGGAAGGCTGAGGTGGGAGAATCTCTTGAGCCTGGGAGGTTGAGGCTGCAATGAGCCATAATCCTGTCACTGCACTCCAGCCTGGGAGAGAGAGCAAGACCTTGTCTCAAAAATTAATTAATTAATAAAAATTAAAAAATAAAAATACTCATAAATTGCCATTACTTTAAAAAATATTAAACATATTAATAAAAAGATAAAACATTGCATATGTAACAAGCAATAAAGATAAATTTTGGTTTTTAGCATCAAAATGTTTTAGCATAAGTCTTCCAAAATGTGATTTTTTGGATGAAAATTTTGATATGTCTTGGGACAGGAATTAATGATGATATCCATAGGATCTGGTATGTTTGATGAAAACTAGACTTTCAATTTATAAATGAAGACACAAGCTCAGAGGGATCAGTTGGATGTCCAAACTCACACATTTAATCAACTACGGAGTCAGAATATATGCAAAGATTTGAATGATTCCAAAGCCCATGATTTTTATATTTCCTCTCTTCCATGAGTATTTCACCTCAGATTATCCAGTTGTTTTCAGGTAACTTTACCAAGTGGCCTCACTCCTCAGTTGTCCAAGCTGATGTAACTTGGAAGAGGCCGATAAGTTTATTTGAATATGCATCCAGGTTCTGTCATTTACTTGGACACCATTTTTTAACCAAAAATTTTATCTTGTAAGTGAATAATTTTACAATTTAATCTTCTTCAGAGTCACCTTATTCTGATAAAGCTTCAGCAAATAGCTTCTTTCTGTAATCATGCAGACAGAGAATTTATATATTCCATTATATTACATGAAGCAATGCAAAACTTCTGGATTGGATTCTATTTGGGAAATGTACTCTGTTGCTAACAGATGATGGTTCTGGTCCCTATTCATTTTCAAACCTTTCTTAGGATATAGGATAAAACACTGTCGAACTACTGCCTTATTTTATTTCTATAGTTAACAGGTTAATCCTAAAATTCTGTAGGAGACAGCTTTACAACTTTTTATAAATTAGAAATTTACAGTTGTTAAATTGATATATATTATTTTCTTCATTATATAGAAGAGTCAACTCAGAAGGATTAGATGGTTTTGTCAAGACACTTAGGTAGTGTCTAGGAATTTGTTCCAGCTCTGTTAATTCCACATTGAATTTTTTTCTCAAATATGCCATTCAGACTTTGTTGCTTATTAAACATTAAAAGTTGATAATAAAGCAGTTCAATTTCTGGAATGCATATTACATATGTGGCATTATTTATTTAGGCTTCTTGGTGTGAATTTTATCTTTGGCTCAACAAGCAGATTACTTTATCAAATGGTTTCTATGTGGGAAGTCAGTGTGTCTGATTCAGCAGAGGTTTACCATTTACCTGTGTTCCAAGCTTAACCTAAAATAAACTTTGAAGCTAAACTCATTTTTTAACATCAAAGTAAATTTTAAATTAAAAAAGTATTGCCTTCACATTTCAAGCTCTCTGATATATCAGCATCCCAAATAAAAGAAATTGATTTCAGTTTATAATCTCTTTGACTTCAGTTTAAATTCTCTCTACTTTTACCAGATGGAAATGTCACCAGATAAAGATGCTAACCACACGTGATGTTAGTGTAAGAATGATAGGTTAATTATTGTCTTAAGTGCTCACATGCTAATGGATTATCAGCAATTACTGATACCATTAAAATATACCACCAAGAAGAATGATTCATAAATCCCATACTACACTGGCTGGGATATGATATACAATGACTTCTAAAGATAAGACATGTTATTGACACTCTGGCCTCTTTGCATGTAAGCACAGGGAATGACACAAATCAAGGGAAGTTAAGAAATAACACCAACATTTGAAATGTCTCCACAGTATCTATATGCTGTGAGAACCAAACTGGAAAAAAATTTGATAAAATACTCTCAGCTGTGTTTCCACTTACGTATGAAACATGGCACTCCACATAGTTGTTAGAAACATATCCCATACTGGATCCTGTATTGTTGTAGACAGATCATCCTATGAACTTGAGGACACAAAACTAGATTCACAGATATATGGCATTAGAAGGAAATTTAAAGATATTCTCCTTCAACTCTGTCATTTGATGAATCACCCTGCACTATAGTTCCATCCTTTAAGCACTCTGAATTTATACCAGCGTATGACAGTTCCAGGAACCCAATCCTAAATTCATTATTTTTAGGGCCGTTGGCAGGCCTTTCTCCCCAATTCTCCTTAGTCTATTTTATGCTGTTATAGGCTCTTCATTTTTGTCTTTTGTGACTAGATTTTTGTCAAATAGTCCTTTTCTGTTATCTCCTCACTAAGGACGAGAATTACAAATCAAAGGGCATCAAATTTGATTTCACAATACTTATTAGGCCATACTTTCCAGCAGATTGGAACACTGATGATTTTTTTTTTATCTCTGCTTCTTCTAGCAGTGAGAAATGCTTTAGGATCTATTGTTTGTATTTGGGAAATATTAGAAGGAGATTTGGATTAGGCTTTATAGTTTAATAATTGTGTCAAAGATTTGTCAATTGTATATCTTTTTAAAATTGTTTTATTTTTAATTCTGTGGATGCATAGTAGGTATATATATTTATCAGGTACATAAGATGTTTTGATACACTAATACAATATGTAATAATCACATCATAGATAATAATGTATACATCAATAATTTTTCCTGTGTGTTACAAACAATCCAATTCTACTCTTTTAGTTATTTTAAAATGTACAATTAAGTTGCAATTGATTATATTCACCCTGATGTACTACTATTAAATAGTAGGTCTTATTCATTTTTTAAAATTACATTTTTGTACTCATTAACTATCCTCACCTCCCTTCAAACCCCTACTACACTTTCTAGCCTCTGGTAACAATCCTTCCACCTACTATGTCCGTAGTAAGTAAGAACATGTGGGATTTCTCTTTATGTGCCTGGCTTATTTCACTTAACAGAATGACCTCCAGTTCCATCCATGTTGTTGCAAACGAGATGATCTCATTCTTTTTTTTCTGGCTGAATAGCACTTCATTGTGTATATGTACTACATTTTCTTTATCCATTAATCTGTTGATAGACATTTAAATTGCTTCTGAGTCAGCTACTGTGAACAGTGCTGCAACAAACACAGGAGTGCAGATATGTCTTCAATATACTGATTTCCTTTCTTTTGGGTATATACCCAGCAGTGCAATTGCTGGATGATATAGTGGCTCAATTTTTGTTTGTTTGTTTGTTTGTTTTTTTGAGAAACATCCAAACTGCTCTCCATAGTAGATGTACTAATTTACATTCCCACCAACAATGTACAAGGGTACCATTTTCTCCACATTTTCACCAGTATTTGTTATTGTCCATCTTTTGGATATAAGCCATTTTAACTGGGGTGAGGTAATACCTCATTGTAGTTTTGATTTGTATTTCTCTGATGATAACTGATGTTAAGAAAATTTACATGTCCCTGTTTTCCATGTGTATATCTTCTTTTGAGAAACAGCTATTCAAAATTTTGCCCATTTTTTGATGATATCATTATATATTCTTTCCTATAGAGTTATTTATGCTCCTTATATATTCTGGTTATTAATCCCTTGCCAAATGGGTAGTTTGAAAATGTTTTCCCCCACTCTGTGGGTTGTCTTCACTTTGTTGATTGTTTCCTTTGCTGTGAACAAACTTCTTAACTTGATATGATCCCATTTGTCCATTCTTACATTGGTTGCCTATGCTTGTGGGGTATTGCTCAAGAAATTTTTGACCAGACCAATGTCTTAGAGATTTTCCCTAAAGTTTTCTTGTAGTAGTTTAATGGTTTGAGGGCTTATATTTAAGTCTTCATTCCACTTTGATTTGATTTTTGTATTTGGTGAGAGGTAGGGGTCTAGTTTTATTCTTCTGCATATGGATATCCAGTTTCCCCAGCACCATTTATTGAAGAAACTGCTTTTCATCCAATGCATGTTCTTGGAAACTGTTGAAAATGGGTTAAGAGCAAGCATGTGGATTGGTTTCTAGGTTCTCTATATGTTCCATTGGTCTATGTGTCTGTGTTTATATGAGTACCATGCTGTTTTTTTACTATAGTTCTGTAGTATAATTTGAAGTCAGGTAATATGAGTCTTCCAGTTTTGTTCTTTTGCTTAGGATAATTTTGATTACTCTGGGTCTTTTCTGGTTCCATATCAATTTTAGGATATGTTTTTCTATTTCTGAGAAGAATGTCATGGTATTTTAATAAAAATTGTATTGAATCTGTAGATTGCTTTGGATAGTATAGACACTTTAACACTTTTGATTCTTCCAATCCATTAATGTGGAATATTTTTCCATTTGTGGTGTCCTCTTCAATTTCTTTCATCAGTGTTTTACAGTTTTTATTACGGACATCTTTCACTTCTTTGGTTCAGTTAATTTCTAGGTATTTAATTTATGTGTGGCTATTGTAAATGGGATTCCGTTTTTTCTTTTTCATACTGTCCACTCTTGACATATAGTAATGCCACTGATTTTTGTATGTTGATTTTGTATCCTGAAATTTAACTGAATTTATCAGTTCTAATAGTTTTGTGGAGTCATTATGTTATTCCAAATGTAAGATTATATCGTCTGCAACAAGGTTAATTTGACTTCTTCCATTACGATTTGGATGCCTTTTATTTCTTTCTCTTGTCTGATTGTTCTAGCTAGGGCTTCCACTACCATGTGGAATGACAATGGTTAAAGTTGGCATCCTTGTTGTTCCAGATCTTAGAGGAAAGGCTTTCAGTTTTTCCCATTCAGTAGGATGCTAGCTGTGGGACTATTGTATATGGCTTTTATTATGTTGAGGTATGTTCATTCTATACCTAGTTTTTTGAGGGTTTTTAAAATGAAGAGATTTGGAATTGTATCAAATGCTTTTCAGCATCAATTGAAATGATCATGTGATTTTTCCTTCATTTCATGGATATGATGATGTATCACATTGATTGATTTGTGTATGTTGAACCATTCTTACATCCCTGGGATAAATCCCACTTGTTGGTGTTGAATAATTTTTCTAGTGCATTGTTGAATTCAGTTTGTTAATATTTTTGTGAGAATTTTTGCATCAATATTAATCTGAGATATTGATCTACAGTTTTCTTTTTTGATGTTAATTGTGTATCTTCATGTGGACTTTTATTCTAAGAGAAGATCCCTAGAAAGCCATGGAATTAAAGTTTGTGCAAATATCATAATATGATAATGGAAATAGGATGTTGTTCTACAAAAAAAAACCCTCAAATATGAGAGATGATTAAAATTTTTTTATTCTTTTCATGGTTGCTGTGAGTTTGGAAATTGGCAAGGATGTAATGTCAAATTTTCTGTTTCAGAAAATCTTTACATGACTCAAGGTGATTCATCCACTAGGGATTTGGAAGACTAGGGACTGTGAGTGCATTTTCATGGTGGTTTCTTTACTTATATGTCTGGTCCCTGAGTTGTAATGGTTAAATGATGGACTCAGGCAATACTCTTGACCAGAACAAACCTGGTCTGCTGAAAAAATTTTCGACAACTATGGGTAGTTTTCAAAAAGTTTATGAAAATACTCATTATTAAAAATTAGATACATATATTTAAAAATAATTGGAATCAAAATAAGTTAATACTGACTTTTTATAACACGTCTAAACAAGGTCTAATTTGAGGCACTAAGAAAGATAAGACATCAGTTTGAAAAGGGCCTTTATCAAAGTAATATGAAATTCTGCTGATATTATAGCAAAAGCAAACAGCAAAATTATGGTGAAGCTTGGGTGGAAGATTGGTAAAAATCATTGACGCTTTATGAAAAGTTTATGGGAAGATCTCAAATAAATGAGCAGTTTACAAACTGATAACTTTAATTTTTCAGTCAGAATTGTGTAAGCTGAACCAGATGAGATGTCTATGGTGTTGACTGTTATTTGTGCTATTGCTCATCAGTCCTCTTCAATAGGGCATGAACGAGATAAATATTTTTGTTCACAAATTGATATGGATGGTTTTCCACTGTGGGTTTCATCTTCAACACTGTCTTGTTTTTCTTCTTAAAATGAGTTATCAATTTGTAAACCTTTCCACTCAAATGCAAAAACTATTGCACGCAGATCAGCTGCAGACAAGAGAAGAGCTTTCAATGGACATTTTAAACAAGTGAGAACAAGATTTTGAAGCATTTCTTTGAGTAATTGTAACAGGAAACAGTTTTCTGAATTTTTATAGACATGTAAATCTTACTGATGAAAAAGAAATGCAAAGCAAACCAGACCAGTCAGGAGCAAAGGTCATGGCAAGAGTTTCTTGGGATGCTCAAGGAATTTTACTTGTTAGCTTTCTGGAGGGCCTAAGAATGATAACATCTGTCCATAATAAAGAGTATTTAGAGAAAGGCAAATATTTAGCAGAAAAGCTTCACCAGATGGTCCTTCTCTATGACTATGCCTCTGCTCACCTCTCCCATCAACAAAGACAATTGTGTGAGAGTTTTGATTGTAAATCATGAGGCATCCATGTGACAGTCCTGATTTGGCTCCTGCTGATTTCTTTTTGTTTACTAATCTTTACAAAAATCTGTAAAGGGCACACATTTTTCTTAGTAATTTTAAAAAAACAAAACAAAACTGCATGGATAAATTCCCAGACCTTCAGTTCTTTAGTGGTTGACGAAATGGCTA
Organism: Homo sapiens; assembly: GCF_000001405.40. NCBI lineage: Eukaryota > Metazoa > Chordata > Mammalia > Primates > Hominidae > Homo > Homo sapiens. The sequence goes on along the minus strand of NC_000016.10, from coordinate 63,372,656 downwards.
GTATCTTTGCTTACAAAAGTGTTGTGAACTTGATGGAGCTTATGTTGAGAAATAAAGTTTCTGTTTTTAAAAGTTTACATTTTAATTTCATTTTCCACAAAGTTGTTGCCTCTTTAGCACGGCAGTCTCAAAGTAGTTGGACTTCCTGCATGGCAGCTTGTCAAATCTCCAAGACCAAGTGTTAAAGTAAATAAGGTAAAAGCTGCATGACATTATATAACCTACGAGTGGAACTCATTTAACCCTACTTTTTTTTGACTGAAGCAGTGACATGCCCACCCAGATTCAAGGAGAGAGAACATACATCTCATCATTAAATAGAAAAATATCTAAGAATCTGCTTAAGTTTTCTGAATTTTTATAGACATGTAAATCTTACTGATGAAAAAGAAATGCAAAAGTGTGTATGTGTGTGTGTGTGTGTGTGTGTGAGAGAGAGAGAGAGAGAGAGTATTAGGATGGCTTCTGATTTAGCCATTCTGGTCCTTATAATGCAAAATAAGGCAATGGTAATAAACTATATTTGTACATGTATGATTATAGTAAAAACTATGGAAGGATAAATGACAAACAGTTAAAATATGGTTACCTAAGGGAGAAGAGGGTAGAAAATGCTATAAACACAAATAAAATAGTAAATTTTATTTATTAAATTAGTTTCAAACTGGTACTACTTAATGAAGTATAGTGTATTAGGGTTCTCTTAGAGGGACAGAACTAACAGGCTATATCTATCTATCTACCTATCTCTATCTACCTATCTATCTATCTATCTATCTATCATCTATCTATCTATCTAGAGGAGTTTATTAAGTATTAACTCACAAGGCCCCACAACAGGCTGTCTGCAAGCTGAGGAGCAAGGAGAGCCAGTCCATGTTCCTAAACTGAAGAACTTATAGTCTGATGTTTGAGGGCAGGAAACATCCAGCACGAGAGAAAGATATAGGCTGGGAGGGTAGGCCCTTTACTCCTTTTCACATTCTACTGCCTGCTTTATATTCCCTGGAAGCTGATTAGATTGTGCCCACCAGATTAAGGATGGATCTGCCTTCCCCAGCCCACTGGCTCAAAAGTTAATCTGTTTAGGCAACACTCACACAGACACACCCAGGATTAGTACTTTGTGTCCCTCAATCCAATCAAGTTGACACTCAGTGTTAACCACTGCAATAGAAACTCAAGAAAGAAAGAATGTGGAACATATTTACCTTAAAAATACAGGCCATGTCTTATTTGAAACATCAGAATTGCCAGTGTTTCCTAATGATCATTTATCCACGTGGACTCGAATCTTATTTTAAAGGAATAAACAAGCAATGATCTTTATGGAGAGCACAGAGATAATTACAGAAGAATGTAACTAATGTAGAACAAAAGAAATATTCTACCAAGATACATAAACTCTCTATAAGAGATAAAAGTCATATTTTTGATAGAACAAATCTATATGAGAAACTTAAAAAAATAGTGTTGCATTAGCTGGGCGTGGTGGCGGATACCTGTAGTCCCATCTACTCGAAAGTCTGAGGCACAAGAATTGCTTTAACCCAGGAGGCAGAGGTTGCAGTGAGCCAGGATGGCTCAACTGCACTCCAGCCTGGGAGTCATAGTGAGACACTGTCTCAAAAAAAAAAAAAAAAAAAAAAAAAATGTTGGGCCAAAGACCTTAACAGACAGCTGACCAAAGAAACTATGCAGGTAAAAAATTAGCATATAAAAAGCAGCTTTACATCATTTGTGTGTAGGGAAATGTAAACGTAAGCCACATGAATTATCACCACACACCTATTCCAATGGCCCAAATCCAGAACACCGACATAAAATGCTAAAGATGCACAAAATGCTAATGATATGGAGGAAGAAGAACTCTCACTCATTGCTGGTGGGAATGCAAAATGTTACAACACATCTTCTACTTTGGAAGACAGTTTGGCAGTTTCATAGAGACCTAAACGTACTATTACCATGCAATCCAGAAAGTGCACTCCTTGATATTGACCCAAAGGAGTTGAAAATATGTCCACACCAAAACCTGCACACAGATGTTTATAAAAGCTCAGTTCATCATTACCAAAACTTAGAAAAAAAACAAGATGTGCTTCCGTAGGTTCATGGATAAATAAATTGTGGTACATCCAGACAATGGAATATTATTCAGAGCCAAAAAGAAGTGAGTTATCAAGCCATGAAAAGATACTCAGAAACCTTAAATGCATATTACTAAGTGAAAAAAGCCAGTCTGAAAAGGTTATATACCATATTCCAACTAGATGACATTCTGGAAAAGGCAAAACTAAGATCAGTGGTTGCCAGGGATTATGGGGAGGGAGGGATAAACAGGAGGAACACAGAATTTTTACAGCAGTGAAAACTACTCTGTATGTGACTATAATGGTGAATACACATCATTATAAATTTGTCCAGACCCATAGTAGGTACAACACTAGGAATGATCCTTAATATTTGCTATGGACTTAAGGTGATAACGATGTGTCAGTGAGTTCATTTGTAACACATGTACCCCTTCGCTGAGAGATGTTGATAGTGGGGGAAGGAAATGTCTGGCGGGGTTGGGGGGTATGGAGTGAGTATATGGGCCATCTCATACTTTCTGCCCAGTTTTTCTGTGAATTTAAGACAACTCTAAAAAATAAATTCCATAAAATCTTAAAAAGTAATTGTAGCAATTTTATGAACTAGTCTTTATCAGTTAATCCTTAGGAAACTGAACCAGATAGATAATATGTTAATCATAGGAACAGTTTTTTTTTTTTTTCTTCTGAGTGTGGTCCAAGGTAAAACAATATCAGTTTAACTTTCTACACAGAATTGAGCTTTTCAACTGCAGAAGTATATTTTCAGGCTGGGAGCGGTGGCTCACGCCTGTAATCTCAGCACTTTGGGAGGCCGAGGCGATGGATCACGGGGTCAGGAGATCGAGACCATCCTGGCTAACACGGTGAAACCCGTCTCTACTAAAAATACAAAAAATTAGCCGGGCGAGGTGGTGGGCGCCTGTAGTCCCAGCTACTCAGGAGGCTGAGGCAGGAGAATGATGTGAACCCGGGGGGCAGAGCCTGCAGTGAGCCGAGATCGCACCACTGCACTCCAGCCTGAGCGACAGGGAGACTACCTCTCAAAAAAAAAAAAAAAAAAAAAAAAAAAAATATATATATATATATATAGCTTAAATATCCTGAAATCCCAAAAGTTAACTATGCACTCAACTATATCCGTTCTTTTCCTGACAGTTTCTAAGAGATAGATCCTATGTTGAATACACTTCAGAGTTTGGCTCCAGATTTCTAGATCGTCTCCTCCACCTCATTCTCCCTGAGCAGCTACTTACTCTTATCCCCAAAGTAAAGACCATTCTTTCTTCTCCACCTCACTCTCTGAATATTCTCTGTGGTCCCCTAGGAAAGAAAGGCTTCCTTAGGGGACCACAGATAATATTATGTATTACACAGATAATATTATAATCATATATTTATATTTCAACCTGAAATAACCCATTCCCAGTTGAATAATATATCTCCCTCATTCCTCTTGGTAAGAAAAAGACTCATTTAAAATAATAGTCTCAGTACTAAACAAGAACGTAAACATATTCAATAACTGGAAATATACAAATTCAAAAGCCCAGCAATCCCACTCTTACATAAGCACTCAATGCAAGCTCATACATATGTTTACCAAAACAGATATACTAGAGTGTTCATAGTAGCACTATTTATAATTATCAAAATTGGAAACTACTCATATATAATCATCAACAGTAGAATGTACGCAAAAATCACATTTTATGTGCACAGTGGAATACTATACGGCAAGGACGATGAAAGAAACCCAACTGCATTTTAATGGATTGGTGTTAAAGGTACTGCTTGGATTGGTACTTGAGTAAAGTAAGGGAAGAAGCAGGATTGGACAGAAAAGGAAGCCCACTTAGTTGAGGCAGTCCCAACAGATTATTCTATCAACACTGCAAAGAGTTTTGAAGAGCATATGGCTGTTGGAGGTTTCTGGAAATGGGGCAAGAGGGCTGATTTTGTCTACTCTAAGTTCATCAGTCATGATGCTGGCCACCCTGAAGAGTGGCCAAGACCTTAGGTGAGGTTGTATTACTCAACTGAATCAATTTCAGAAGGGAGCTGACAGCTGAGGGCTGTCTCCTGGTAACACTCCCAGCAGCAGGGGTAATAAATCCTTTACTCATAGAAGGGCTTATATGAATGAACCTCAAAAATATAATCCTGAATGAAAGGCTTCAGGTGCAAATGAAGAAGTGCTATACAACTTCACATATATGAAATACAAAAAGAGGCAAAAATCGTCGTATAGTGCTAGAATTCAGGATAGTGGTCACTGTTGAAGGTTAGTGCACAGAAGGAATTGTCTGTAGTGTTCCCTTTCTTGGTCTGGATGCTAGGTATTAGGGTGTTTGCAGTCAGTGTGAGCAGTATTTGAACTGCATACTTGGTATTAGTGAACCTTTCCATGTTCATTTGATAGGGCAAAGATGGGGACACTCTGAGTAGGAGGGCAGAAATGTCTGCTTTTTAAAATCTGTGTATGAAACTATCAACCTATCTATCACCTAATGTGCTATCTATAATGTGTTTATGACTGTATTGGGGATGTGAAGCATAGTATTTATTTCATTTCTGCTTTTCAGTGACACATTTTTAAAAACGAGTATTTGCAACAGTTTCTGCACTTTCTGCAGTTTCCATTCTTAGATGCAGCCAAACCAGAATTTTCTGCCCTGCATGTTGTTTTTTTAATCTAAAGTAGGTCAATATAGCAACTGAAAAAAAATTATGTAAAATTAGAAGTTCTGGTTCAAATTGAAAAGTTTATCTCCAAAACTCAGAAAGACATTTATCTTTTAAGTCCTATCTAGAAGTAAATATGTAAAAGGGAGACTTCTGGATGTTAGAGATATAAATAATATTTTATATTCACTTTCATGAATTCAGGAAATCTTTACATACCTGCCTAAATTTATACATACATTCACACACAAACACACACATTATAGAATCTCTGTGTATGCTAGAGAAACAAAGATGAATATGATTTATCATTTCTGATCTTGAACAGCTCCTATTCCAAAAGAAGAGACAGATAAATAAAGAGATAATTATCATATCACAGGGAATCTTAATCTAAAGTTCACTGACCCTTAAGTGGAAAAGGGGGCTTTGGCTGACATCAGTGTTTACATCAAAATATCATATTAGTTTTCCAAAAGGTCATATCATACTGCAAGCAATTCATCTCTCTAGAGCGTAAATACTTTGCCTCATCTTCTCACCGTCGCAACTGGAACACATACACACACAATGGTGAAATTCATTTGAGAAAAATTGGTTCAAATAGGAGACCATTGTTATATATAACTCACAGTAGGCCCACATGTTAACTCATACTTTTGGGTTGTTTTCTCTGTTGCTGGCCTACTTCTAAAAGGCTTGCTTAGCTGCTATCTGCACACCTCAGCTAACTAAATCCTGTTTCTATTCCAGTAACTAGTTAGGTTTAATGAGCACAAAATCTGTTTACTGACAATCTTCGTACCAGTACCCATGTTGGATATTGCTAAGAATCAAGACACTCTTAGCCACTGCAAATATACTTTCAAAATTCTTATCAACCCAGTACTTTAGCCAGGCATAACCAATCGATCAGTGCTGGCTCATAATGTGACACATTGTAGCCAATCCCACCTTCTGGAATTGAGTATGGATTATTTGAGAAAAAAATTACAAGTGGATTGTCTGATAGACATATTATTTCCATAGTAGAAATAACAATTTTTGAGTCCATAATGTTTGGGAACATTTTTATCTTTGAGGAATCAGTGTCTTTTACCATTTTCCAAAACTGTGCTGTGTGTCAGGCATGGTGTCAGCTCCTGGAGAGATAAAAATGAGTAAGGACATTCCCATGACCTTGAAGAACTAACATTCTCACAAGTGAGACAAATAAACTAATTGTGAGATGATGATATAGGTACTAGGGTATTGATAGGTGTGTGGTACACAGCTAACCTTGTCAACGGGTAAAGATTTTATTGAAATAATTATGGGATACTTTACAGAAGTGGCCCCTAAACTGTCTTGAAAGACATTTGGATTAGAAAATAGCAACAAAAAAAAAAAAGAAAAGAAAAAGAAGGGATTCTAGGATACATGTGGAGGCCAAAGGTGAGTAAGGTCAGTCAAAAATTCAGGGAAACTTGAATGCAAAAGACTCATTTGAGTGCATGGATTTATATTCAACATAAGACTCGAGAAAAGTCACTCTGTATGAAGCTCTGATTCCACGTCAAAATCGTATTCCAACTTCCTTCTCCTGGACAAGTGGTATTTTTTTCCAGTTGCTGAAAAATTACATTCTACAGCTTTCTTTCTCCAGTATTGACAAATGGTTAAATGGAAAGGGAGGTCAAAAAAGAAAATCGATGCAATTTTACACAGTCCTCATTACTAGGTCAACCATGTCTTCTCTGTGCATACTCAAGTTGGTTTCCTTGCTCTGAGTAAGGCTTTTAAAAGGTTGCTTGCTGGCTGAACTGTCAGCCCAGGGAAAGAAGAATTAGTTTTCAAAATCTATCTACAGTACAGAAAAAAAAAAAGACAGTAAAACCTCATGTACCACATCTATGATTCTATTTTTAATTATCATTAATGCTAAACCAAACAGGAAACGCTTACTGTCTAGTCATTTCCATTTGAAATAAAAAACTGTACAGATTTATAGCTGGAAGGGTCTTTAGGGATTATCCACGTCAAACATCCTTTCTCCCTTTATTTTGTAAAAATGGAAATTGGTGCCCAGAGAAGTCAAGTGGCTTGTGCAAGGTGACAAATTAAGCTAATGGCTGAACCTGAGCTTGGTCCCAGTAGAATGTGCTTAGACGCCCAGGCATTTGAATCTGCAGAGCAAGGGAGGGTAGTCTATTTTCAATTACAATTTGTTATTCTGTTAAAAAGAAAGCCTTTTAAATTTTAAGTAAAGTGTTTATATGGCTATGTCATTGTGCCTATTTATTTGTAGCCACAAATCTCTGTGTTTGAGTGTGTGCTGGAGTGAAAACATCTACTTTTTATTATTATTATTTTTTTTAATCAGCATTCTCCAACACAGTGGTTCTCTAAACTGGCTGCGCAGTAAAATGACTTGGCGAACTTTACAAAAATCAATGTCCAGGCTCCACTCCTTAGAGATTCTAATTTAATTGGTCTAGGATGGGATCCTAGCTTCTGTATATTTAAAATTCCTAAGGTGATTCTGATGCCAGTTCAGGACAGAAAACAACTGCTCTGACCTCGCATCATAATCAGGATTCAGTTGTTCATAAACCTCCCCGTATGCATGAGCTCTCTGTACTGCTAATCATTATTATTATTTTATTTATTTATTTTGAAACAAGGTCTCACTCTTTTGCCCAGGCTGGAATGCGGTGACACGATCTCGGCTCACTGCAACCTCTGACTGCCTGGTTCCATCAATCCTCCCACCTCGTCAGCCTCCAGGGTAGCTGGGACTACAGGTGTGAGCCACCATGCCTGGCTAATTTTTCCTTTTTTTTTTCTTTTCTTCTTTTTTTTTTTAAGAGATAGGGTTTCACCAGCTTGCCCAGGCAGGTCTCAAACTCCTGAGCTCAAGCAATCTGCCCTCCTTGGCCTCCCAAAGTGCTGGGATTACAGGCATGAGCCATTGTGCCAGCCATAAGGTGCTAATTATTTAATGTGTTCCTCCCTTTGGCTAATATTTAACCTAAATAAATTTATTTTCAAATAAAATTTATGTGACTACTATAAACTATAAACAATCAACCCTTGCTATAAAATCTGAAATATAAACTAACCAAGACAATATTATTAAAGATTGGCTAAATACTACTGTTTGAGATTTTGAGCCTGAAGCCAATTTCTTTGTCAAATTTATGAATTAGTACATATTAGGGAAATGGTAAAAAATAGCCACATAACACCAAGACATTCTTCTTGAAATAAATGGATAGGTGAGTACAAGAAAATGCTTTTCTAAAAATCTCTGGTATTTTAAAATTGAAAATTACCAGTGATAAATATCCCATACTTTGAGAATCTATGCTTTAACCTGAAGGAGGGAGCAGAGAATTTTGTCTTCATTTCTAAATCTACAAGCTGACCAGGGCATCCCCTTGTGTCTTGGTCTTTCCTGCTGCTCTCAGCTGGGATACAGGTCACCCTTCAGGGCCTCAGGAGGGTGACTCCTCCAAACTTAGTTCCCAGGTTTGGTGGCTCCCTCTTTTATGAGGAACCCCATACAAAATAGGGCATGGGGTATCCACTCACCTTACTTCTTTATTTCTCCAGAGTTCCTAAAAGTAGCCCACTAGACTAGTCAGGTCTATGCAAGTTGCTCTACAGTTGGATTTGAAGAATTACAAGGAGGATTTGAAGGTCGAATATGAAAGTCAAGTCTCTAGCAGGTGGCAATATTCTGCAATCTCATAATTGCAGACATTCAATAAAATAGGTCCTGAATGAGAAGGAGGTGCCATGGATATCTGTCCTTACTAAAACAGGGACCCCAATAAATCACCATATCTCGAAGTGAGAAATGGCCAAGACATGGCTTTATGCCCGTATGTGGATGTGTTAAAGGGAAGGACAATGTGATCTGCTACACAGAAGGGTGTGCCATGTACATACACATCACAGTCACATTCCTAAAGCTTTTCAGAGGATACATTACTGATTAACTTTTGTACATGAGGAACCCTAGTCAGCTTCATCAATGTAAGATGATCAGACTTGCCTCTTTGTGGCTAAGGCTAATTCGTTTATAACATTAACTATTTTTGCACTGTCTGCGGCTTTTCTTTCCTTTTTGTCTGTGTTGTATTGTTTTATTTTACCTTTCTTTTCTCTCTCTTCTTTGCTTTCACTTTGTTACCTGTCCAGACTTCATGGCTACCTCTCTCATATACAGGCAAACAATTAACATATGAAATATATTTGAAAACAAAAATATGTATCCTCACCCCAAAGCCTCACCTTTCCCTCAACCCCAACTCTGCAAGAAAAAAATCAAACTTCCCAAATCCTTTCCTGTTTACTCCCTTGGAAGCAGGTCTGCAGTGTGAATTCTGCTCAGATAGTCTGCAAGTTTGCCTGTGTCTATGGGACTAATGTTCTCTCACATTGCAGAAAGAAAGGTGGACAAGGGGAAGCTAGTGGCAGGTCCCACTTATCATGGTGTCTTATCATGTGACCTCATAGCTATATTTCCTTTCAAGCTTCCCACAGGATGAACTAGAGGCCTGCCAGTTCCTCTAAATATTGAACTTATTTAAGTAAATTTGCGTCACAAAGATACACAGGCTGAACTAATTTTTAAAAAGGGACTAGTCCCACAGTTAGCAATGTATATGCCTCCTCCTTGGTACCATGTTTCTCAATCTTAATTGCACATTATAATCATCTGAAAACAAACACGAATAACTTAGAAGCACTAGAGATACACAATATTAAATCTGCATATTTAAGACAGCTTAACATGATATGTTTTTAAACCATCATGTGATTTAAATATGTAACAGGTTTTATACCCACTGTAATTTTAAATTTGTGTGTTAACATTATTATTTAGAGAAGATTTTGTTTTCCTTATTTTTCTATTTTAGTGTTTATGAGTAATGTATCGATTACCCTTTAATTGGCCTTTAGTATTCTCATAGATTCTCAGTGAAGAACAGGAGGCAATCTATAATATACATATACATAAAAATATACATATATTTTAAGATCCAACAGTCTCCTCTGTTGTTAAAATGTATGATCTTATGTGATGTGCTTATCCAAATTCAACATGTATTCTTTTCTCCTTTCCTCTTGGGCTTCAAACACTTAATCCTATTTCATTTTGTGGAAGAAACAAAGTTCCATATATATTTAAAGACTGCCTATATTGTCCCGTAGTCCTGAACAGCCACACCATCTCCCCCATCCCCACCATGATCCCTCCACCCACCCCACCTCTGAATGTTCAGAGTCATTCTCCAAGTCTCAACCTAAATATTACCTTTTTGAAGAGTCACCACACATCCTAGTTTTTGATACCATGAAATTTTAAAGCAAGTTTAATATGAGTAACAGCAATGTCCCTCTATCACAAGCACCTCACAAAGAAAAGTGGTTTTATAGATACTTTTTTAAAAAAGGAGGAAAAGAGACAGACAGACAGAATGAGGAAGAGAGAGAGAGAGAGAAGGAAAGAAGAAAAGAAGGAAGGAAGAGAAAAAATAAAAGACAGGAAAGAAAAGAAAAAAAGAAAGAAAAGGAAAACAACCAAGGGTATCAGTGAAATAAGCTATTCTCCTTCAAAACAGAACATTTAAAATGTCTCCTTAATACACATTAAAAACATACTCTAATCTCCCAAAAGTCATCCATCCTGAGAACAGAATGTTTTGGGGAGACAATATTATATCTACATAAATACCCAGATTCTCACTCATTTTAAAAATGAAGAAATAGAATCTTTTTATACCAACAATGAACTTAGAAGTACATTTGAATGGTAATTAAACATTTTTAAAAATTTCTTCAATCTTTTATTATTCTTGGTCACCTCACCGTAACTATTGCTTCTCTTCCCATCCACCCATCCATTCCATAAAAAAATTTTACACTGTACCACATGCCACTCCGTTTATCAGATATTTTGATAACTTTAGCTAACAGTAGCACAATCTGTTAGCAAATTTGGGGAAAATAAGAACAGAGAGCAGAAATGTTTGGATTCCCTTTAGGTGGTTAAATGAAGGTGGTAGCATGCTTGGCTAAAACATGGACAAAGACAAGCCATTTATGAAATGTTCGATATATTGCATGGCTCAAATAAATAGAGTTCTGATCTCCATGCTGATTCCTAGGCTGGCCAACATACCACTACTGGCACATTACTGTAGATGAATGAAAAATGTTTATTGGTTGACAGCAGAGAAATGTCTTTAGCGGATAAAATTGTGAACTAAAATGGGATTATCCTTACCAGTAAATGTAAAACAAAACAGACACCACTTTCAAGTATTTGTATGTGGGAAAGGAGAGTGATGGTGATTGCCCTGTAAGGACCTGCCTTTGCTAAGGGATGCACAGCTATTAAATGTAGGGCTGCAATTGTGTGAAATGTTTTCACTTGGAGAAAGGGCAGGTTTGTGGTGTACAAAAAAGAAGCTCTATTTCTTGTTTCTTATAAAGAAATTGTACCACTAATGCTCTTTGCTCTTTCCCCTTGCCGTCTGCCTCTGAAATCTCCTTATCCTTTTCTGATAGACAGACACAAATTGAATTACCAAACAAAAAAAAAAGTATTTTTTTTTAAACCTAGACACCAAGAACCTGCTATCATCAAACACTGTCTTGCTATTGCCATCTAGTGGCCAGGATACTAACATGCAGTTCTTCTGGCCAAATCAAAGACACAAGGTGTCTTCCAAGGAGTTAAGAGTTAGAAAATGAGAAACTACAGAGATTCAAAGAAACTGATGTCTTCAAGGAGTTAAGAGTTAGAAAATGAGAAACTGCAGAGATTCAAAGAAACTATGTAGGTCTCTGTTGTCCTCCTTCTACTGAGTGGCATCACTTGATCTGGAATATACATATATATATATATGTTTTATATATATAAATATGTTATATATATGTTTTATATATATGTTGGTATAAAAATATATATATAAAACATGTTTTAATCTAGAAAAATCTTATATATATGTGTGCATATATGTATATGTATATATGTATATATGTATATATATGATTTTTATAGATTGAAACAGTATTTAATTGTAGACTTACAAAATAGCACATAGTAGGGTCCCCTGCCTAATAAACTCATGATATGCACTATAATATAATATACAGTGATACAGTGTCATAAATTATTTAAAAAATTCTAGGAGGCCATATGCCCAAATATTGCTCATGATAGTAGTAATAAGACTATCTGAGCCTCTTATTTTTTCATACATATAACTGCCTCACCACCTCTCACTTTAGCCTCGTCTTTACTTTTCCCTCTTTTCATCCTACCCCTGCATCCACCTATGTATTTATAAATTTGTCAATTCAAGTTTAACGACCAGTATCTTGCCTAGGGAAAAAAAAAATCCTGATTGTCTTTTGACAACTGAAAAATATGCATTATTTTTCCTAAAATTCTAAATCCTCCATATAACCTTAACCATGATCCCAAGACTGTCATGCCCTTACACATAGAAGGCTATAGAGTGAGCCTTCTCAACAGTGCCACTATTGGCATATCAAGAGAGGTAAGCCTCCACAGTGGTGACAGTGGTGATGATGGTGGGGCTAGCCTTTGCACTACAAGTGCTGGGGATGGTTGGCAGCATCCCTAGCATCAAACCACTAGATGCCAATAACATGCTCGCTCTCACACCAGTGAGACAACCACATCATGTCACCAGGTGTTACCACATGCCTTTGGGAAGAGAGAGTGGGGAGATCACTCATCTCTGTTTGAGAACCATTGCTGTTAAGAACCAAACTTCTGGCTATGTTCATAATACATCCCGTTCTGTCTCTTATTTTCCAAACTCTCCGTGACTTTTTGCTCACGTCTGTCTCTCATATTAATTGCAGAAACACTTCAAATTTCTGAAGATCCATACATGCCCATAGCTCTTTAATAATATTTAATCTTTGATTTTATGTTCTTGGAATAATTTAATCTCCCTTATTAGACAGTCGCTATCATGTGACCCAAAACAAAGCATCCCCACCCCCTTTTTTTTTCTATAAAGCTGCGTTTCCCAAATATATTCCATGGAGCACTGGCACTAGCTGTTTGATATTTGTAAATGTGGTGCTTGTGCATGTGTGCACACGTGTGTGCATGTATTCGTGTGTGTGTAAAGAGTTTTATGGTGGCTCATGCCTGTAATTCCAGCACTTTGGGAGGCCAAGGCAGGTGGATCACCTGAGGTCAGGGGTTCGAGACCAGCCTGACAAATATGGTGAAACCCCCTCTCTACTAAAAATACAAACATTAGCTGGGCGTGGTGGCAGCCACCTATAATCCCAGCTACTGGGGAGGCTGAGGCAGAAGAATCACTTGAACCTGGGAGTCAGAGATTGAGGTGAGGTGAACTGATATCAAGCCATTGCATTCCAGCCTAGGCGACAGAGTAAGACTCTATCTCAAAAAAAACAAAAAAGAGATTTTTAGTCAAAGTTGAAAAAGTAGCAAACAATATCCCCAACATGGATTTTCACAATTTACATTAATTAGTGTAACAAAGACTATAGAAGTTCCTTTAATTAATATCACTGTTTAGCAGTTTTTCTCCTCAAATATATTTAACTATTTTTTTTTTTTTGAGACAGAATCTCACTCTGTTGCCCAGGCTGGAGTGTAGTGGCACGATCTCGGCTCACTGCAACCTCCACCTCCCAGGTTCAAGTGATTCTCCTGCCTCAGCCTCCTGAGTAGCTGGTACTACAGGAGGGCACCACTATGCCTGGCTAATTTTTTTTGTATTTTTTAGTAAAGACAGAGTTTCACCATATTTGCCAGGCTGGTCTTGAACTCCTGACCTTGTGATCCTCCTGCCTCAGCCTCCCAAAGTGCTGCAATTACAGGCGTGAGCCACCGCACCTGGCCTGATATTTAACTATTTTAATAAATTAAAAAATTGATTGAAGAACTTAGCTATGTCCAAGGGTCCTTCAGACCAATCCTTCTCCTCTTGGCTTTTGAAAAGGTCATTATAGGGCCTTTTCATTTAGGCTTATGTTATTTCTGTTTGAAGATAGGAAGGTGTTACTTAACAAGAAACTACTGACCTACTTTTGAACGGTGTCTGCAGTGTGCAAGGGGAATTCTGGAGTTAGAAGTGAACTGGAAAAAGAGAATAAATGGAATATGAAAGGATAGAGGGCCCCTCACAGAGGGCTCCTCACATTGTATGGTGGTTGAAAAGGACTTGGAACGGTGTCCAGATAAATTGTTGATAATTAAACTCTGGCTAAGTATGAGTTAACATTGGAAAAACACTTTACTTTTCCAGAAAAGTTTCATCAAATATATATTGAATGGTTTGGAATGGTTAATTACTCAACTTTTCTGTGGTTTCATGTTGTCTGACCGTAAATTGGATGCTGAGAGGGTTGAGATGGGAGTCTAGCTTGCTCGAGTGATTTTGGACTTCTTCTTGGTTATATTTTCATGCTTTTGGCCTTCATGAAGCACCAAATGGGTATATTCTGTGCTTGCAATAGGCAACTACTTAAGTGAAATTAAATATTTCTTGTGGGCCTATATTAGATTTAGGGCTTGTGGATAGGGGGAATCACACAGGATAATTCTCAACTGGAAGAAGAATACCAGGAAAACATGGAAAACAGCTACTTTTATCTTCTGTTATTTACATCACTCCATTTAGATGTGCAACCTCCATTTCTTATCAATGCTTATTCTAAAAAGACTATGTTTAGCTTATAATATTAAAAGCGAAGATACTAATGCTAGCTTAAAGGAAGACTTTTTCTTCAGTCAAATTAAGGCTAAAATTTTAAGCTGCAGGGTAATATTACTTATGGCGAATTCTCAAAATAAATAGGGAAAACATTTTTCCAAGGTAGGAACATTACAATTTACCTTGTCAGACTAGGAGTTAAAACACAGGAAGGAAATATCTCTCTATTTTGTGTTTGTTTAAGATCCAACCCTTGTTTTTATTTCCACCCATGGATTTAGAAAATAGGACACAATACATTTGTGGTGTCACATGCAATTATTACCCTAGTGAATTGCTAATGAGACAACTCCAGCTCCAAAGCAGCATTTTAAATAAAACCCAAGAATACATCACATCTTCACATATTGCTTTTATAAATTAACAAATACATTCCCATGCATACAAAAATGGGAACGTATTCTGCAAACAAGCCCTGAGCAGCCACCATGTGTAAAAACTAAGTTAAGCACTAAAGATGAGGCAAGCAGAAAGGTTTATGGTCTTAGTAGTCACAGAACTCATTAGTGCAGGGATAGACATAGGACATCACACTAGATTATTGAAGTAAGGAGAAAAATTCTGTTTTAAAGGGATAGGCATAAAGCTGGGGGCAAGACAGGTAGAGTCAGAAGAGTAAGTGATCAGTTCCCACAGATGGGTCATGCTGGTATTTGAAGGAGTACCAGGATTTTCATAGGCAAAAGAGGAAAAAGAATATCTCAGATAAAGGAAATAGAACAAAAACAGGCAGTTGGAAAAGAGATCGGGAAGAAGGAGACCCTCTCTGTGAGGCCACAGGTTGCCAGAGGTTATTATGAAAGGTAGAGCTAGAGAGTAAGTTTTGACATTAAAATTACCTGAAGAAATGTTCACAATTTTAGTTAAAGGTGGTCCATATACTTTTGTAACTGAATATGAAAAGAAGTCCCTGTCTGAACCAGTTATAAAATAATAAAAGAAATTACAAGAGATTATATCTCAAAATTTTTAATGTTGAGAATCCTTTTGATCACATCTCATTTAACAGATACAAAAAATTAGGTGGACAAGCAAAATTCAGATCAGGGATCTAGCACAAACTCTTGATAAGACTCTACAGCAGTGCTGGCCAATAGAAATAAAATGCAAGACAATAACCTGAGCCATATATGCAATTTTAATTTTTATATTAGCAACATTAAAAGTTTAAAAGGAAGTAAAATTAATTTAACAGTATAACTTACTCACAAAGATACCTAAAACACTGTACATTAAATCAATATAAAATTGAGATATTTCACATTATTTTTTCAATTTCAGCTACATTACTTAGATCTAGAAATTTAGTATTTTATACTAAAAGAATGTCTAGATTTGAACTGGTCACATTTCATATATTTAATAACCACATGTGGCTATTGACTACCACATGTGGCTATTGACTACCACATTGAACAGCACAGCTTTAGAGTAATGATTCTCAAAGTTGGTTCTTTTTCCAAGAGGACCAACATCACCTGAGAACTTTCTAGACGTGAACATCCTTGAGTCATACTCCAAAATTATTCAATCAGAAGTAGTTGGTGATGGGAATACAGTTTGGCAATTTCACGTTCAAAAAGCTCTCCTGGACGTTCTGATGCACACTTAATGTGATACGATGGCAGAACCTGGGAACAGAAAGTGTGGCCCTGGTCCATCAATATCTACATCACTTAGGAGCTTGTGGGCGGGAAGCCACCCAGGTGCCGAGGCAAGAGACTGAAGGCACTAGCTGTTCCAGTATAATAAAGAAAATATATACAATAAGAATAGTTATACAATAAATAGATTATAGATATGATTACATATGAATATTATTAATCATTAGTTTGTAGCATTACTCTTTATTCCAAATTATAATAATCTTTGTTCTACAATTACAACCTAGGAAAAAACAGGCCATACAGAGATAGGAGCTGAAGGGACATGGTGAGAAGTGACCAGAAGACAAGAGTGTGAGCCCTCTGTCACGTCCGGACAGGGCCACTGGAGGGCTCCTTGGTCCAGCGGTAATGCCAGTGACTGGGAAGGCACCAGTTACTTAGCCGACCTTGGTCTAGCAGTAGCGCCAGTGCCTGGGAAGGCACCCCTTACTTAGCAGACCAGGAAAGGGAGTCTCCCTTTCACGTGGGGAGTTAGAGAAGACTCTGCTCCACCACCTCTTGTGGAAGGCCTGACATCAGTCAGGCCTGCCCGCAGCCATCCGGAGACCTAAATGTCTCCCTGTGATGCTGTGCTTCAGCGGTCACACTCCTGGTCCACTTTCATGTTCCGCCCTGTACACCTGGCTCCACCTTCTAGAAAGCAGTAGCAGAATTAGTGAAAGTATTAAAGTCTTTGATCTCTCGGAGAAATACATAGAATAAATAATGACGTAAGCTGTCCCCTCTCTCTCTGCCTGGGCTACCAAATAGGGAAGGGCCCCCTGTCCACACGTGACTTGCGTGACCTTACCTATCATTGGAGAAGACTCACACGCCTTACCCTGCCCTCTTGCCTGCAGCCAGGCATTTGGGGCTACTATGGGTCTCCGTGTCTTGGTGGTAGTGGTCCTCCGGGCCCACCTATCTTCTCTTCTATCTCTTTGTCTTGTGTCTTTATTTCTACCATCTACCGTCTCCGCACACGAAGAGAAAAACCCACAGGCCCTGTAGGGCTGGACCTTACAGAAGCTTATTGAAAATGTACAATTTCAAAACCTGGACTTACTAAATCAGAAAGTGCATTTACAACAAGTCCAGGTGAATTATTTGTGTACAAAGCCTTACATCAGTAGTTCCAAAATCTGAAGGTACGTTTTAATAACCTGGGAAGGTTCTAAAAATATAAATGACTATTACACCAATCAGATTAGAATCAAAGTAGAGCCAATACCTTCTGTTTTGTTGCATTGTTTGTTGTTGTTGCAGTTGTTTGTAACTCACAAATCATATTTATGTACAGTAAAATTGGAGAACCTTTCTCTAGAAACACTATTTACCAAAATGAAGTACTTCAATTGTAAATGGACAGCTCAATATTTTTATTTATTATTATTATAAACAATTCTAATATATGACAAAATTGAAAGAACATTGATATAATGAGAATGTGCATACCCAACACCCATATTCTACTAATTGTACTATATTTGCTTTATCATACACTCATTTTTAAGCCTTTCCTCTGTGTTTAAGTTGTATCTCTTAATCATTTTTAAATTGGGCTGTTTGGGTACCTATCATTGAGTTGTAAAAGTACTTTATAATTCAAGATCCAATTCTGTTTTATATTTTCAAGTCAAGTCCTTCCATTTCTGTTTTCTAAGTTTTGCTTTTTCTGAGAGCAAATCTTACTAATTTTGTTAAAGTCAAGTTTTTCATTTTATAAAATATTTATGTACAGTGATTTCTGTGTTCAACATAAGAAAGCATTCCTTACCCCAAGGTTGCAAACACATTATATTATGAGTTCTAAAATGTTACATTTAGATATTGATATCTCACATAAGCTGTTGCTTGATATAAGCAAGCATTCAAAATTGTTTATAACTTTACTCACTATTCATTGATCATGTATGTGTTAAAATATTTCTGGACACCATTCTGTAGCTCTAAATTATTTGTCTTTCAATGCATCAATACCACATTGTTTTGATTACAGTAGCTTATTTTAGCCATGAGATAAGATAATTCAAGGCCTTTTAATTTGATTACTTTTTACAAAATTATTTTGGCTAATCTGGATTCTTTGAATTTCCATACAAGTCTTAGAATTGAGTTGTCAATTTTCACAAAACAAACTTCTGGAAACTTAATTGGAATGGTGTTCAATATATCATTTAAATTTGGGGAGGATTGGCATTTTAATAATATTGAGACTTTTAAAATACATACATGGTTTGTAACTCAATTTATGTAGGTCTTCTGCAATTTCTTTCTGTAAAAAATGTTAATTTATTTAATTATTTATTAAAAACCTATGCTTTCTTTGCATATTTTAAATAAAACCTATTGTTGAGTGTTTTGATTTGATGCTATTATGAATATATTTTAAGTTTAATGTTATTTCCCTGTGTTGTTGAATACCTATAAATACATACATATATTTATACACACATATATTTACATATATATTTCATGCTTTTCTATATTGGTATTGCATCCTAGAATTTTGCTAAATTCATTTCCTATTCATAGCTTTGTGTTTTTATTAGATTTTTAGATTACTAGATTTTCAGTGTAAATTACTAGATACTTGGCAAATAAATAATGTTTTACTTCTTTTTATGAAGGCCTTCTTCTTTCTCTTGCATTATTGAAATGGCTATAAACTTTATTACAATGTTGAATAGAAATGAAGAAAAATACCCTTGTCTTTCTTCTGGTAATAGAAAGAAAGTGATCAAAATTAACTAAATTATGATGTTGGGTGCAATCATAATTGCCTTTATATGTTCTGAGAAAGTTTCATTCTATATCTAGTTTGCTGAAAATTTTGTCATAAATTGGTGTTGAATTTTTTCAAATGCTTTTTCTATCTGTTGACTTTTCTCCTTTATTCTGTCTTTTTCTCCCCTGAATGTTTGTTAGAATTTAGCAGTGTGTTATGAAAAATATGGGCAAGAAATTATACTCTCCTTTTCTTCATTACAAAAGTATTTGGGTAAATTAAATATTATTTCTTCCATAAATATTTGACATAAGTCCCAAATAAATTCAATCTTGGGCAGAAACTTTCTTTGTGAAGTTTGTAATAAAAATTTAAGTTATTTAATACTGTTATCATCCATTCCATCTTATATTCCTTTTGTTAAGTTGGATTTTCAAGCAATACATACATTTAATGTACCTTATCAAATGTAGTACATATTTTTACGTAACATTTTCTTTTTATTCTTTTGTTCTACATAGCACATGTAGTGATATCCCCTGTATTGTTTTTATATAGATAATTCATTTCTCTTTTATTGTTTGTTGATTATTCTAAATATATATTTATCACTTCATTTGACCTTTTCAAATAATCAAATTGCAGCTTTGTTGATTTTTCTCTATTGTGTTTTTTTCCTGTTACATTAAATTTTTCTTTATCCAAATGATTATCTTTTTTATTCTTATTTTGGAATGTGCATATTATCTTTTGATAGTTTCCAAATGTAAAAGCTTAGGTTATTATTTTGAACTTTTATCTTTCATGTATAAATATATAGCTATAAATTTTCCACTAAGGACTGCTTTACCTGGATCATGTTATTTAATATGTTGCATTTTTATTTTTATTTACTTTAGAATATATTTTTAATATTTATTTATGGTATTTATAACTCTAATAATTTATTGATTTCTAATTTATTTATTAGTATCACATTATATTTCCTCTATTGGTTATATACACATGCATAAACACATACATAGAAACATACAAACCATACATTAATATATGCAGATAAAATGCATTTATATTTTATATATTGCATATAGTATACAAATATAAATATTACAAGCCTATGAATATATAACATAATATAATTATACTAATTATTTATGTACACACTTATATATAGAACTACACATTCCAATTTAGAGTGATTGGATTAAATAAGGCTATATATTGAATTCTTCAGAAGAGCAACAATTGTTACTACTACTGCATTTATTCACACATGTATGTATTTATTCCAACCTACTTATATGGATATAATTTTTTTAGTATAATTGGGTACCCTTAGAATTGTACTACTATTATTTTATGTAGTCTAATATTCTGTATATGTTAGCTTTGTTCTAAACTGCTAAAAAATTAAAGAAGTTAAGAAAAGATACAAAAATATAATTTTATATTATCTACATGTTTGTCATTTTTGTGATCTTTCCTTTCAGTAGATCATAATTTCATTTTGATATCATACTCTTTCAAACCAGAGATTTCCCTTCCATATTTCTTTTCGTGCAGGTAGGCCAATGATTTTTTTCCTTTTACTGTGCTTGTAAATGCTTTTATTGGAGCTAGTTTGTCCCCTGTTCCTGTTTGAAGTCTCACATAAGTCTTGCTCTTCTCTGTTCAATCTCAGTTAATAAGTTAGCTTGTCATTTCCAAGCCTCCACAGCAATAGTTTAACAATTAAAATGTTGACACAAGTGTAACAACCAGCACTCTGGTCTTAATTTGTAGTGGTATCTTCTCTACTCTCCCAACTCTGGCTCACAATGGGTAGAAAGTCTGCATTGTGACCTGGGGTTGGGTTTACATTATCTACTTCCTTTGCATTCTTTCCCCATTGCCATCTTCTAAGTTTTTAGCTGCACATTTGTTTTAATTTCACCAGGTTCTGAGTATGTATTTGTGTATTGGGAGTAGGGAGGTCATGCATGGTAGTTAAGAGGGCAAAAAATAAAGATCTAACTTGATTGACACTGCTGTGGTTTTTGTCACCGAAATCTTCCTGGAGACAAATTTAACATTGACTACATTTTTTCATGGAGTGATTTTTGAAGTGTGTTTTAAAACATCACTATGACTATCTCACTTTCCTATCAATGTATCAGATGAGAATACACTCTTGGGAGGCTTCTGATTCTTGGTCTCTGGTTCTTAGAGGCCCATATGAAACAGAATTCCCCTTTTCAGGCCCTCATAGCCTCTCTCAACAATGATTGATCTCTGTAACATTTTCCCCAGCCTCTTCTTTCTAGCATTAAAACTGGAAATATGATGTAGATGGTCAGTGGGCAAAAGATTACTTCCTACAGTGTAGTTTGTTATGCTCTTGCTATGGACTTGCCTTGTAACTCTAGAATTTGGGAGCATAAATTAGAAACCGTATAGTTGTGTTCCCCCACTCCAGGCTATCCCTCTAGGTTTGAGTGAGGAAGCATCTACTCTGTCTGTTCCAAAGCCAACTAATTTCTCATTTAAAAATTACCCTTTAACCCTTCCTGCCATCTTTCTGCGCCACAATGGCGCACATGAATATCCTGACTGATGCTCTCAAGGGCATCAACGATGCTGAAAAGAGAGGAAAATGCCAGTTTCTCATTAGGCTGTGCTCCAAAGTCATCATTCGGTTTCTAACTCTGATGATGAAGCATGGCTACACTGGCAAATCTGAAATCATTGATGGTCACAGAGCTGGGAAAATTGTCGTGACCCTCACGGGCAGGCTAAACAAGTGTGGGATGATTAGCCCCAGAGTTGATGTAAAACTCAAAGGTCTAGAAAAATGACAGACTAATGCGATCCCAGTCCGCTAGTTTGGTTTCATTGTACAAACCTCAAGGGTCATCATGGACCATGAAGAAGTAAGATGAAAACACACAGGAGGAAAAGTCCTGGGATTATCTTTCTAGAGATGTAATACATGTTTACAAATAAAATGCCTCGTGGACTCTGAAAAAAAATTACTTTAAATTAAATTAAATTACTACCTCAGCCTTTCTATACCGTGACATTTACATTGAGATAAGGATAACAAAACTGGTTTCTGATCAAGTTTTAACGATATCCGTGTCTGTGAAATAAGAGTCTAGGCTTTCAAGGGACTATTTCAAATGGAACAATATTCAGTTGTATATATGAGCTTACAGATTTTAGATAATTTAGTCACAATAGTTATTAGTTATCAACTAATATTAACTGTTTAAGTTATCCTTTTAAATTAGCTTGCAAGATCAAAAATATTACAAAATTGATTATCAGTATTTTGATGTTCTCCTTAAGACTTATTTCAT